>NC_000002.12:23418846-23570361 GCF_000001405.40 Homo sapiens
CATGCACTTCGTCAATCCTGATCCCCCCTTCCCTGCCCCTTAGTGCCCATGTTAGGCTTGACTTATTGGCACATGAGTTCCACAAGGTGCCAGATGGCACTTTCCATGGTAAAGGAATCTATAGGTAAAGAACAGGCTTTGTCTTTCTCCTAGTACTGTTAGGATTCATTACTGCCTCCAACTCCTGCCCCGTCACACGCCCCATTGGTGTCTTTTAGAGTCTGGAGTTGCAGACCACAGATACTAGTAAATTGTCCTACTGACTAAATTAAAACAGGCCAAGTCAGAAAACTCGGCTTCCAGATTGCCAGACCAGTATGATTTTTCCAAAAAGAAGAGCTTCCATAAGGTCACATTTGTGACTTATAATTTTGAACTCTGCAGACACTGGCCCCGCCCTCTGGCCAGAACTGTCCCGCTCCCCTGCCTTCTGTTTCTCTCCCTCTCTTGAGTCATTTCTGCTACCTCTGAGCCAGTGAAGGAGGCCAGATAAAGGCTCCTGGTCTGTCCTGGCGCTCCCCAGGCTGGAGGGTCCCACCTGGGGAGGGCACAGCCATCACAGGAGCTGCAGGGCCGTCTGTGGCCCGCGCTGTCGGTGGGAGCCCACAGCCGGGGTGACTGCACTCACGTACACATGTGACTTTCCTCCTTGTCCCTGTCTCGCTAGGCTTGACTCATCTCTTTAATCACTGTGGACTTGGATGCTCTGTTATTTCCAGGGCATCTTCTCAATTTCATTCTGAAAGTATGTCCTCGCTCTATTCAGAATAGATTTTTAATTGCCCTTTCCCTGAAAAATGTCGAGCGGAATGAGTCCTCAGGATAACAGTGGCCTTAACCAGGAGTCTGGCATTGGGCTCAGTGCTGAGGCCCGTGTCGCAGTGGGGCTGGGGTCTGAGGGCTCCCGTGGGCTGCGCTTTGGGGTGCGGCTGGTCTCTCAGCCTGGCCTTTTCCCCACTCAGGCGATTCTGTTCCTGGCTCATAGGTCATTTGTTGAGAGGAAGGGACTTGGGGCCAGTCATTACTCCAGGATTAGGCTGCCTGTCCCAGCTCGGCTGTTGACTGGCTGGCTGACTTCACCACTCCCTTCTCCCCACTGAGCCACAGAGGCCTTGTCATGTAACACATCACAAAGGTTAGATAAGGGCGTCCAGTGCTTTCACTCGTGGAATGCCTGCAGAATAACATGGTTTCCCCACACACGGAGACACAGGCTGCTTGTGTGGCCGGCACGGGGGGTCCTACGTCAGCATGTGGTGACCCTTGGCCTCGCCCACCATCAGATCACTGTACCTGTGTCCCCTCCTGTTCCCTCCTGCCCAGCGACCCTCACGGACTCCGCATCGTCTATCCAATAAGAACAATCCCTCAGCCATTTCAGAGCTGTCTACAGCTGGAACTCGCCCACCTTGTGGCCGTCCCTCGAAGCCCTGTTTCCTCTCCTTCCTTGCTGCGTCCACACCGATCCCGTCACTGCTTCCTCCTGCCTGAAATTCTCACTGCGTGCAGCCCGTTGAGCTAAAGGGTCAGAGACTCACTTAAGCTATGTCAAGGAATGGGGCTTGTTTTACGGGAGGCGGAATCCCACAGGAACACAGGCCCGCTGGCTCCCGAGACCGGGCTGTCTGGAGTCCTCCATGCGTCTTCATCTCAGGGCCCTGCTCACAAAGCGACTGCTGCCCTCTGAGCAGATTCTGCCGCACCTTTCTTAGTTTTCTTCCTGATGTCAACTGATAGATCGTGTGTATTTTCTGGCAAGAAATTCCAAAGGCAGAGAGTCCAGTGAGCTTAGCTAACTGCCCCTGCCCCACCTGCCAGAGCTCCTGGTGCCAGGGTGTCTGCAGAGTGCCTGCTGGACCTTGTGCTGGCCGCCTTTGGGTCTGGGGCCATCTCTGCTCCCAGCCACGTCCACCCTTTTCCAGAAATGGCACTGCTGAGGCCCATCTGTCAGCGGGGCCTCTGGGTGGGGCAGTCACTATGAGTGGCACATGTACGACTCATCTTTCCGCCACCCCCCCACCCAAATTATACCCAACCTTCAAAGCCGAGCATCAATCTCACACCCTCCCAGAAGCCCTGGCTGCCTCCTCCTCCTCCTTTATCAGTCAACAGAGACCTTAGAGACCTGGCCAGGCGCCAGGCCAGGGGCTTTCATTAACATCTTCGCACACTAGTCCTCACAGCAACCTTCTGGGAAGTAGGTATCATTGTGTCCCCTCCTTACAGAGAGGGAAGCTGAGGCTCAGAAAGGCAGGGTGACTCGCTCAGTAGTGTAGACAAGGCTCCAGCCCACCCTGTAATTCCACTCAATGTTTCTTCCACCTGTTCCAGGTCCTTTGAGCCCCTGCAGTCCTCCTGGTCTGTCACATGCTAGACAATGGTTGGCACCTGTCTTGTGGTGTCTCCCGGCATGGCCTGGATTGTAGTGATCTGTGGTCTGTCCATTGCTGAAGGGGTGTCTGCTCCTGAAGATCACATGGTCAGGGCAGAGCCGGAGGCTGGGCTGGGGGCCCAGTAGGGCCTCCCTACAGAGCACAGGGAAGTGGAGGCCGTCTCTGCCTCTCCTCTCCTCTCCTCCTCTTTTGGGGTGGCTGCTCCTGGAGGGGAGAAGTGAAGGATTTCTGGTACAAAGTCATTCTGCTTGTCCTGAATGTCAGGAAGGAAGGTTTAGACAAGATTGTGTGTGTGTGTGTGTGTGTGTGTGTGTGTGTGTGTGTGTCTGTAGCTGTGTGTGTCTGTGTGTCTGTGTCGGCATGTCTGCTTTGTGTGTCTGAGTGTGTGTTCATGTGCCTGTGTGTCTTGGTGTGTGAACCTGTGTGTGTGTGTTATATGTTGTGTGTGTGACTGTGTATGTGTGACTGTGTCTGTTAGTGTGTCTCTGTGTTGTGTGTATGTGTGTGTGTTCATGTGTGTGTGTGTGTCTGTGTGCATATGTGTTCATACATCTGTGTGTGTGTCCATTTGTCTGTGTGTATGTACATCTCTGGCTCCAAAGACCAGGTCTGTGTGTGAATGTGTATTTCTGTATGTATGTGTGTATCTGTGTGTCTGTGTTTGTGTCAGTTTATCTGCCTCTGTGTCTGAGTCAGTGTGTCTGCCTTTGTGTGTCTGTGTGTGTCATATGTTGTGTGTGTGTTCATGTGTTTGTCTCTGTCAGTGTATCTGTGTGTCATATGTCTTATGTCTGTGTGTGTTCATGTGTTTGTGTGTCTCTGTGTGTGTCAGTGTGTCTCCCTTTGCTGTCTGTATGTTTGTGTGAGTGTGTCAGTATGGGTGGGTCTTTGTGTGTTGTGTGTGTCTGTGTGAGTGTGTGTTCTTTGTGTATCTGTGTATCTATGTGTCTCTGTGTCTGTATGCCAGTGTGTCTATGTCTGTGTGTGTAGTGTGTTTGTGTGTGTGTTCATGTGTCTGTGTCTGTGTGTGCCTATGTATCTGTGTGTCTCTGTGCATTTTGTGTTTCCTTATGTGTGTACATGTGCCAGTGGGTCTGTGTATGTCTTTGTGTGTTGTGTTTGTGTGTGTGTGTCTGTGTGTGTCTCTGTATTTTCATATGCCTATGTGTCTGTGTTGTGTGTGTGCCTGTGTGTGTTGTATGTTCCTGTGTGTTGTGTGTCTTTTTGTGTCTGTGTGTTGTGTGTCCCTGTGTGTCTGCCTCTGTGTGTTATGTGTGTCTCTGTGTGTGTCCATGTGTCTGTGTCTCTCTGTGTTGTGTGCCTGTGTATGTGTCCCTGTCTGTGTGTCTGTGTCTCTGTGTTGTGTGCCTGTGTGTGTGTCCCTGTCTGTGTCTGTGTTGTGTATGTGCCTGTGTGTGTGTCCGTGTGTCTTTGTCTGTGTTGTGTGTATGTCTGGGTGTCATGCGGTCCGCCTGTGCAGGTGAGCGGGCAGTGCCCGTGTGTGTCTGTGTGTCTGTGTCTCTGTGTGTTGTGTGTGTGCCTGTGTGTGTGTTCGTGTGTCTGTGCAGTCTGCATGTGCAGGTGGGTGGGAAGGGCTGTGCTCTGCACTCCTGATGGATGCCGCTGTGCTCCTCCAGGAGGCCTTGAATTCCCCATTCAGTGCTGAGCCTGCGAGGGATCCAGTCACTCGCCCACACCTCTGTTGGTGAAATGCCAGCAAGCCATTTATGCCCCTATTGCTTAGAAAATGCAAACTCAAGTCATTCAACAAAAGCAGCCCTTGAATGGGTCTTGCCGACTGGCCCTTCGGGGCCTCAGGGCCTGGCTGTCATGGAGCCGTGGCGGGGAGCCGCAGGCCTCAGCGTGGACAGTGGGGTTGGCGGGCCCCGCAGGTGGTCCCTGGGAAGTTCCTGGTCACAGGAAGTGTTTTTCACTCATCCGCTTACTGTTCTTTTTTCCCTGCGAACAGAAAAGCCTGGATGGTTCTCCCGGCTGCTGTCCAGGGCCGGGCTCTGCAGGGCAATTCTGGGGCCACCAGAGGCGTCTGCTGCGTGGTCAGCCTGGCCGACTGACCTCCCGGGCCTGACCTCCCCAGGCCGTGCCTCCCACCCCAGGGTCTTCTCTCTTCACCGAAGGGGTCCCTTCCGCCCTGCCCTGAGAGCTGCCCTGCGCGGGCTGTCCCCTGCTTTGTCTGCATTTGCATTCAAATCCTCTCTGAGAACTTCTTAAGCAGTGTCACAGTCCGTGCCTTGTCCTCTCAGATTCTCAAACGACTTAAAGCAGAGCTCTGGGCTGGTGTTTCTCTCAAAGGGAAATGGCCTCTGTGATTTCTGGAGTGCGTCATTCCCCTACGACTTGGCGGGTCTGTTGCTGGCCATGGGGTCAGTCAGAGAGGCCTAGCCTCAGCCTGGCGGGCGGGGGTCCTGTGGGAACACCATTCCATTCTCCATGGGCTCAGGGGGTGCGGTGTGGGATCTCGCTGGTCCTCCTGGGCCTCAGCTGGTGCCCCGGGGCCTCCCCTTGAGCTCCTTCTCCATCCTGGAGTGTCCTAGCCAGGTAACCCCAGCACAACGATGTGTCCGCATAGGCCAGGCTCCTCCACCACACATATGAAACAGCAGCAGTGTGTCTTTCTCCCTGAAGACGAGCAGGGAGCTTTGTCACAGGTTGCACGGCTCCAATCTCTCCCCGACCCCATTCACCATCCTTAGTGGCTTCGCTGGAGCATCCGCTCTCTCTCCCTTCCTGCCCAGCTGTCCACCTGTCACACCCAGCACAGCCCTGAGGTGCTGCCTCTTCACACGTGGCTCCCTGAAGGACAGTGGGGCTCTTGCTCCTTTTCTTGTAATAACAGCACCATCCACCACTCCTCTCTGAGGAACGGTGGGTAGAACCGATACTTCTAGAACAAGTGCTTGGGGCTTACTGCTATCAAAGGTGGGAAATGCATCAGATTTAAATTACCTATTGTAAAAGTCAGCCAATAATTCCTTACATAGTTTCCCCTAATATGGAACTTTGGGAGCCTCTGAGTGTGCACGTGTGCATGTGTGTGCGTGGGCGGGTGCATTTGCGTGTGCATGTTTCCTGTGAGAGAATGCATGGCGAACGGAAATCAGACTCGGTCACCATTTGGTTTATCTCCTTGGTTCACTTTGACTGCTCTACACTGTTAAATTGTTTCTATTATTTGTCATCTATGCTTTCATTTATAACCAAAGTGGACCGCTTTGGCTATAAAAAGTGACAAAGACAGGAAACATAAAAAACATTTATGTGGAGCCACCCCAAGTTAATGAGGAGCCTAAGAATGATAATTCTGCAAATTTGCCTCAAGGTTGTTTTTACCAGATCCATAAGTTGTGATCATCTATCTGATCCAAGTTCTTATATAGGTCATCTAAATGTCTTTAGTACATCAAATGAGAGGAAGAAAGAAGGGTGTGGGGGGCAGATAATACAGAGATAATTTAACCAGCTTGCCTTTTATTGATTAGAAAAAATTATTACCAGCAATGTGTTATTTGGAAGAAGGACTTATAAATCTCTCTCCGAATCTCGCTTTATCTCATCATTTAGATAACATTTGAACATTACTAAAACACTGCAGTTGATTTTCCTTACGCTCAAAAATGCACGAATTCTAACGATCGGGTCACAAAAGCAGTTTTTATCTATTTTTAAAGCTGATGCACATAATTAAGTTTCAATTATGTTTTAGATATGTTGGTCCCCAAACCAAAATGTCATTTTTTATTTGTCAACAAATCAGTCTTTCCTTGCACAACTAATTTAAAGGAAATGAAATGTTGTGTATAACGTTAAATGGGAAAATGTTGAAATGTGTCTTTATATATAATGAACGTTATTAAAAAATGGTCTTTTAATGCTCATTTAATATAATCCTTGAATAATATACTCATATAAAATATTTAACTAAAAATCTTTTTTACCATAAGCCATGCAAAAATGATAAAATGATTTTTTTTAATTGTAGGGGGTTTGTGAAATTATAGATTACTGTGAAAGGAGTTCATTAGTCAAAAACAGAATTGGAAATGCTGATCTAGAGACACAAAGCCCAGGGATTTCAGGAGGGAGCTGGAGAAGGGGAGAGAAGTGAGGGTGGGGAACAACCAGTCCCCGCCTGCTAAGGAATGTATGGCTTCCTCCTTGGGCGCCAGCAAATACCTCTCTCTCCAGGGCCGGCCAGACCAGGGTCCCATAGCAAATGCCAAAAGCTAGCCAGAGGTGAGGGCATTTAGGAGTGTTGCCTTTGAGTTCATCCTTCAAAGAACGCAACGCTGGGCAGGTAGCAGGGTGAGCCCCCTGCCTGCGTCCTACCCTGGTGTGGGGATAGGGAGTGAGCTGGAGACACAGATGAAAGGAAGCCAGTGTCCCCCCAGACTGCAGCCCCGAAAGGAGCAGCCCTTGGCTGATCCCCGCTAAGCTGCTTTGCCAGCTTGCCTTAGATTAGACTGGGTGTACTGGGTGCAGGCGACATCATTTCTGAGAACTGGCTGTCACATGACTTGGCAGAACAATAGCAGCCAGGTGGAATTTTGTTCCTTGTACCATTTGTGAGCACTGGAAGGACCACAGGACAATAGTGATCCAGGCTGGGTCTCTTTCTTCATAGGGCACAAATCAAAGCCCAGAGAGGTGGGAAGAGGCCGCCCAGGGCCTCAGGGTGGCCAAGAGCATGCTGTGTATACATTCTCCCAGGCTCCCATGTGTGCATTCTTCCAGTGTTCTGGGACAAGGGTGTGTGCCATTTCAAAGATACTGATCACAGAGGATGACTGCACCCTTCCCATGCCTGGGGAGTGCCTTTGAGGTGGGGAGATGGCCTCAGGGTCATGGGAAAGGCTCTTGGGAGGGACAACTGGGTTCTGGAAGGCTGTGGGAAGCGGGGAGGAGGGGATGAGTAGGGCAGAGGGTTAACTTACGCAACAGCAGAAACCATTCTACTGTACTCAGGCTCTGCAGGTGTTTTGTGACCCTCCTGCAGGAACATTTATTTGTATCTGTTCCAGCTGGTTGACCTGCCACAACCCATCCTCAAATGTATCAATCCAAGGTACTATTATTTATGGAATCATTGACTCATGAGCTCCCCAGGGCTCCCCTGCCAAGTGACTTCCCGGCGGCCACTGGTCACCTCCAGGAGCAGGAGCTCCTAGCCCAACTGAGGGGAGGCCCCTCTTCCATCAGCTTTTCCCCTCCAGTTCTGGTTCTTTCTGCCCCTCGGGGTCTCCCAGTGCGCACCTGGTCCGCCTGCTACAGGAAGGCCTTTCAGGCATGTAAAGAAGCAAAGACACCCTCCCCGCTGCTGCAAATAAACGCCCAATCTGCAAGAATGTCTCCTGCCCTGGCTCACACATACTTTTCATGTACTTTTGGCATCTGAGTCACGTCTCTAAATGGGCTGCAGTTTGTCAACATCCCATGGAAAGTATGGCCCGAGAATCCAGTGCAGCACTCAGAGCCGTGACTGGGACAGCAAAGGGCCAGGTTGCCAGCTCTTTCTGCCAAGGTCTCAGTGCACAGCTGGACCCAGCCTCAGCTGACAGCTCTTCTGGAAGCTTCTGTGTTCTAGCGGGGGGTGATACAGTCTGCCATGAGGGTGAAGTACACATGACGCACCCTGAAATCTAACCTCTAACAGAGCCACATGTGTCATTCAGAAAAGAACATTGCTTTCAAGGCCTTTTCTTATTCTAACCAGAAAAGTGATAGCACTCTTTTATAGAGTGATGTGGATTTGAGCCATTAAACGATTTGCTTACTGATACCCAGGCCTCTTGATCTGGCATTTCATATCCCAGGTGACCGCTGCATGGTGCCTCTGAATGTCCCTACTCTTTTTCCCAAAACAGTACCTAACAGGAGCTCAGGTCTCCTGACTCCACAAGAAGGTGCTGGCTAATTGCACAGCCGAAAACTGTGCAAGAGCCAGTTTGAAAGGGGGCCACACGTTGATCATTCTGGGCTGAATATTTTTGCGGCGTTCTATATTTACACCAAAATGGAGGTGAACTTAACAATACGGTGTTACCACAGGAAATGAATGAATCTGTCAAAAATCACTCTTTTACTGAATGACTTCTTTAACCTGAGCTGCCAGAAAAGTCTCTCACAGTGGGAAGTCATGCTTTAGATGGTGTGTCCTGATGAAAAATTGATATTGGCGGAAATAACATTTTTTAAAACTTCTAGGTGTTAACAGTAACTTTGAGTTCTCTGTGAGGCTCAGAGGGGTGGCGTGTTCTGCGTGGCCACATCCGTGTTTATTAGTTTATGGCCTTCTGCTGTGGCATTTCATCATCACAGCAAAATTGCAACCTTTCAGCGCCTGCGGACAGTCACGTTAAAATGGCTTTGAGGGAGAGATGGCTCATGTGGTCAGGCGTTTTGGTGTCACACTCAATTGGCTAAACATAGTAATTTTGGGGTCTATTATTGACTAATTTGGGTAATTCACCTACTGGGAAATATTTTAAGATAAAAATGTAAAATCCTGTCAGTGTATGAGCAAGGTCCTTGATGTCAGTTTTGTGACATATTTTTAAACACTGGAATCTGTTCTGTGGAATATTCTGGCATGTTGTAGTTAAGTAAAACAATGTTGGGAGCCCATCAGCTGTCTGTTTGCCCATCTTCCTGTGCTCATGGAGGCTCCTATCTGGGTGGTTATTTTATACCTGGGCGGCTCCCGTTTAATAGAGAATGCCATTAACAAGCGTGCCAGAGTCTGTCTCTGCCTGCAGCCTTGATTAGCCATCAGCATGCGTGAAAACTCATTTCTTGATTGGTGTCGAAATATGTCACACCCTGATGGAGCATTGCAGGCTATCACTGCTAACGGATTAATGACAGAGCACCTGCCGCATGGCCTCATCCACGACAGCTGCCATCCAGAGAGAACAGAGTTTGGACCGTGTCCGCAGAAGGCCTTGGAGTGTTGACGTGGGCAGGTCTAGGAATCTGCATGGGCAGAAATGTAGGGGAGCTGAGTCACTCTGCGGCAAGTGGCTGTGTCTTCCGCTGTCCCCCTGCATGTGAGGCTTGGGACCTGAAGGCCCATTTTCCCCCAGTGATGTTGCGAGGTAGGTGTTTAGGGTCTGGCATGGGTATAGGATTTCACTAGTTTCCCTCAACTTCTATCCCTCCTTCCTGGCACTCCATAATCACTTTACTATGCTTTGTCTTTTGCTGTGATGGGTGTCCCGGTCTCAGCTCCTCTCGCCTACCTGCACCAACAATGACCACACAACTGTTGTGTGCAGGCACCATTGCCAGAGTGCATCATACAGGTCGTCAGTCCCTTGGAGGCAAGAAAGGTACCTTGTTTACCATCCTACCCCCCGCCACACACACACTTAATTATGTTATATGATTGATACTCAGGGTTTCAGTGGCTGTTGTGAGTCAAATTGTCATTTGTGGCCGAGTGGTGAACAATGTCCCTCTTCTCGTGCCCAAACCTGAGGGCTGAATTGGAACTTGGCATACCCTGAAAATTTCAAAAGATTTTACATGATGCAAGGAATGATTTGGGGCCGTTGGCTCCCCCAACAGAACCAGCAAAGCCTCCCGGTACTTCTTTAGTATTTTGCTTTGCAATGTCCCAGCCTTTCCCTTTAAGTCTCCTTTTCGGACAATATATAGAAAGTTCTACACCACATCTCTCAGCCCAGGTTAAGCGAGGCTGGACTCTGGGTTCTCATCCTGATTCTGCTGCCAGCTCAAGGTATAGCTTTGGTTGGGCTAGTGTCTTCTCTCTGGGCCTTGACTCCCCTGTGTGCACAGCGAGGGAGTTTGGAACTCATGGCCAACTCTTTGGGTGAGGATCGTGAGCATCCACCTCTCCCCAACACCAGCCTGCACTTGGGTACATATGTTCACATACACCCAGGCACGCACGTGTGCATACATGCTCAGCTGGGCCCTGCTCTGTCACTGATGAGCCAGGGCCTCTAAGATCTGTTCTCTCCATGTGAGTTGCTTTTGTGCAGCCCAGGGAGCCATGGTTGCTGGCGCTGGGGCCTTGGTGCCCACATGTCCCTGGGAGAGGTTGCACTGTACAATGATATGTGCTCCTCAGCGTGTAAACCACCACCCAGCCCTGAGGGACAGAGCTTTGGTTGTGGGGGTCTCACTGCATTCTACAGATGTTTCTTTTGTGCTTTCAAAGTAACATAATTGCCTCATCAAAAGTTTGTGAAACAGGCTGGGCGCAGTGGCTCACTCCTGTAATCCCAGCACTTTGGGAGGCCGAGGTGGGCGGATTACCTGAGGTCCGGAGTTTGAGACCAGCCTGGCCAACATGGTGAAACCTCGTCTCTACTAAAAA
Organism: Homo sapiens; assembly: GCF_000001405.40. NCBI lineage: Eukaryota > Metazoa > Chordata > Mammalia > Primates > Hominidae > Homo > Homo sapiens. The sequence continues at coordinate 23,429,596 of NC_000002.12, forward strand.
TACAAAAATTAGCCAGGCATGGTGGCGGACGCCTGTAATCTCAGCTACCCTGGAAGCTAAGGCAGGGAGAATTGCTTGAACCTGGGAGGCAGAAGTTTCAGTGAGCTGAGATCGTGCCACTGTACTCCAGCCTGGATGACAGAGCAAGACTCTGTCTAAGAAAAAAAAAGAAAAAAGAAAAAAAAAATTTGGGAAACAGATAGGAGGGGAAGGGAAATCACCTATAACACCCCTTTCCCTTCCAACAGCTACCACTATCATTTTGTAAGTTTCCTTCTAGTGACTTTAAATTTATATTTTTTCAATTTTTTTAATACTTGGCACTGTAATAGGCACTTTACATATATTAACTACTTGAATCTTCTCAACAGTCCTCCTGGATAAAAATGAATGAATCTCATTTTACAGATGAGAAAACCGAGTAGAGGTTGAGTTGCTGGGTATATTCAGCTTGCTGGGGCTGGGATTTGAACCCTTGCCGTGTGACTCTGGACCCTCTCTTCCTTCCACCAGTGCAGTGGTTATCAAATTTCACCTGTCTGAAAGTCACCTGGAAGACTTGTTAAACCTATTCCTGGGCCTCACTTCCAGAGTGTGCGATTCAGTGAAGCTGGGTGAGGGAGGCCTGCCATCCTGCACTTCCAGCAAGCCCCCAAGCAATGCCAGTGTTGCTGGTATGGAAACCATATGTTGAGAACAATTGTACTAGTCCATACTGCTGCCTTGTGAAGACCTCATCCTCTATCCTGATTTCCCCACTCATTCTGAAAGAATTCCACTGTGTTACTATTTGGCTTCACACAGATCACTTACAGTGACTACATGAGATGACGCATGTTCTAAAAGGAATCTATTGCTTGTTTGATGCTTTGGAATTCACAAACCTGCCTTAGCTCAGAGCCCAGGAAAATCACCCACAGTTAAATCCCTCCCTGAGAAGGACTCTCTGGGCCCTCCAGCTGGCCCAAAAGGGACAGGTGCCTGAGATCATTACATCAGTGCCCAGTGCCGTTCAGTTACATAAATCTGACCCATTCTTCAAGGCACTGTTCAGCTTTCACATTCCCCAGGAAACTCACCCTGCCTACCTCAGCCCACAGGATCTCTTCCTTGCTGCGCCCCTGATGCCTGTGCTACTGTGGTCAGTGGTCTAGGTTAGAACCCGGGAACTAATTTTTTCTCTTCTAGATAGTGAGCGGCCCTTGGGTAGCATTTGGTCCAGCCTTTCCATTTTACAGATGGTAAAACCGAGGCCCAGAGGCAAAAAGAATTGTCTCAGGTCAGAGTGCTGTGTCTATAAACTCCATTTTGAATTAATTCTTGACAAACACAGTTAGACCTTACAGTTGGTTTACATTTACTTCTTAAAATGACTTCCCAGATATCCCTACACTGAAAGGATGCAGACTTGAAATAGACGGACACAACAGATACTCCTTTCTCCGTGCTGTGCAGCCTGGAGAGTGTCCCCAGAGCTGCTGCAGTGGTCTTGCTGGAAAACCCCTCTAGCACCTGTGTAGAAGCATCAGGAGGAGCTGCCTCTATTCTGTGTCCCATTCCAGACATTTCAGAGGTGTATGTGGAGTCCATGGCACCAACAGGTCTTCCTACTCTCCCGAGGCTGGAGCTGAGTTTACAGGTGTCCAGAGTTGGCAGATGGGTCCTTTATCTAAATGTGTGACCCTGTGTTCAGAGCTCAAGGCATAGAACAGCAGTGCAGTGAATAAGACCACAGCTGGTTTTTCTCCGTGGGAAGGAAATATGCCTGGAGGCTTCTGATTTCATTATCTAACAAGTGTATTTTCTCTGATGTGGGCTCAAAATGGGGAAAGAATAATTATTCCCAGCAGCCCCACCTCTGCCGTCTCCCGTTCCGGGACTCCCTTGACAGGCTCCTCGCCAGCCCTGCTCCTCCGCCGGCAGCCGCCCCTCAGTAGCTGCCGTGAACATGGGCAGTGGGAGATTATTCTTCATTTCAATTTCATTCTTTTTTTTCTTATTAAAAAAGCAGTGAAGGCCGGGCGCGGTGGCTCACGCCTGTAATCCCAGCACTTTGGGAGGCCTAGGCGGGTGGATCATTGAGGTCAGGAGATCGAGACCATCCTGGCTAACACGGTGAAACCCCGTCTCTACTAAAAGTACAAAAAAATTAGCTGGGCGTTGTGGCGGGCGCCTGTAGTCCCAGCTACTCGGGAGGCTGAGGCAGGAGAATGGCGTGAACCCGGGAGGCGGAGCTTGCAGTAGTCAGCCGAGCCGAGATTGCGCCACTGTACTCCAGCCTGGGCGACAGAGTGAGACTCCATCTCAAAAAAAAAAAAAAAAAAAAAGCAGTGAAAACACATGTTCATTATTTAAAAATCAGAAAATATGAACCAAAAAGAAATGAATGAAAATACCTCATAATACCACCCGCCCCAGGGATAACCACAGTTTAAAACTATGGACGTCAATTCCAGATCACCATTTCTCGAAGTTTCCTCAATCTCTTTCTTGTTTCGGGTTTTGATGCACATATAAACACGCTATTTAGTGCTATCATTTCATTTTACTGTACATGAAAGTATGCTTATGCATAGTGGAATCTGCTTTTTTCACTTAGAGAATCTTGGGTACCTTTCATGTCAATGGTTGAAAAATCTAATTCGTCCTTGTTAAATAGTATTTAATAATTAATAATGCCAAAGCATTGATTGACATAATCTGCCTTTATTGGTTATTTAAATTATCTTCAAATTTTGCCCTACGAGCAACACACCTATCTGTGCTCTTAGCTGGTTACAGTTATTTCCCTGGTTATTTTTTAAATGGGGAAGCTTTCTATTCATTTGTTGGAGGAAATATTTTCCAGTCACATGCTGTGTGCCAGCCATGGTGCCCCATTCTGGGGATTCAACAGTGCCTGAGACAAGGTCCCTGTCCTTGCACTTCTGGAAAAGGGGCATGGCTTATCAGTAATACACATGTAGATTTAAAAGACCATTGCAGATTGTGATAAGTGCTGTAAAAAATCAACAGGGTGGTGGGATTGAGGGAGAAGGCAGCGGAGCTCCTGTGACAGAGCTCAGGGAAACCTCTCTGAGGAGGCGTTTTTGAGCTGAGACCTGCAAGAGAGGCAGCCAGGGCTGGAGGAGCTGTGCAGGTGCTGAGGCAGGAGGGGCTGGTGCCCCTGAGGCTGGAAAGGCAACAGAGCAGAGGGAGTCGGGGGCAACTGGTCTAAGAAGAAGTTGAAGTTGGCTGGAGCCAGGTCACTCAGGTTTCCATTGGCTGCAGCCAGTATGTATATTTCATTCCAAGAACTATCAATGGCAGGGAGGATGAAGAGACAGGAAAGGGCATGGTGAGGGAGACAGGGGTTGCGAGTGGGGGAAGGCACAGAGAAAGGAAGGAATCAAAGGGGACTTTGGGGTTCATCCAGGAGGGTCCTGGTGCTGATTCCTTGCTGACATTCAGAGTGTGTGCCCTCCGTTGTCTTGATAAAGGGAGGGGAGCACCTCCTGCCGTCTGGCCGGTGCCCCTTCTGGTGGCAGAGCACCCTTGGGTCAGCGAGCGCTTTTCTGCTCCTGCAAAGTCCCGCCAGCCTCTAAGAGGGTGGATTTCTATGCCAGAGGCCTGGGTCTCCACCAGCAAAAGAGTAAGTTCTATGGCAAGAAACCCCTCCAGAACATGTGTTGAAATCCTTTTGCAGAGTTACCAGTGCACCTGAATTATGGTGGCTACAAAGCTGCTAGGGCATTCCCCGGATCCGAGCTTGGAGGAGGCCAAGCCTGGGCAATTTTTCTGACTTTACTGCACCATCATCCCCATGAGGGAATCTGGTGTTGGGGGAGGAGGGGCAGGGAGTGGCCGCGGAGGCCACTGGCTCATACTTGACCTGGCAGTGCTGTCCAGGTGTCCTGGCACCTGTGGGACATTGGTCTGGGGACAAAGTACATCCCCACAGCAGCTGGTAAGAGAAGGGTGCTGCCTACGTTATGTAGGCAAATGGATTTCCAACTAAATTTCACAAAGCAATGATGGTGTCTTGACAAAAAATGAGCGCTGGGCAGGGTGGCTTACACTTGTAATCCCAGCACTTTGAGAGGTTGAAGTAGGAGGACCGCTTGAAGCCAGGAGTTCAAGACTAGCCCAGGCAACATAATGAGACTCCCATCTCTACGAAAAAAATTTTTTAAAAATTGCTGGGCATGGTGGTGCACACCTGTAGTCCGAGCTATTCCGGAGGCTGAGGAGGGAGACTTGCCTGAGCTCAAGAGTTTGAGGCTGCAGTAAGTTACAATCACACCACCGCACTCCAGCCTGGGCAATAGAGCAAGACCATGTCTCTAAGAGAAAAAATGAACAGTTAACTGTTCAAGATCCAAGTGCAGTAAGTTTCGTTAGTGTTTGAGGGTATGTGTCTGTGGGTGTGTGCAAGTGTGTAGAGCCCTTTAAAAAGCTAGGCTCCGGCCGGGCGCGGTGGCTCACGCCTGTAATCCCAGCACTTTGGGAGGCCGAGACGGGCGGATCACGAGGTCAGGAGATCGAGACCATCTTGGCTAACACGGTGAAACCCCGTTTCTACTAAAAATACAAAAAATTAGCCGGGCGTGTTGGCGGGCGCCTGTAGTCCCAGCTACTTGGGAGGCTGAGGCAGGAGAATGGTGTGAACCCGGGAGGCGGAGCTTGCAGTGAGCCGAGATTGCGCCACCGCACTCCAACCTGGGAGACACAGCGAGACTCCGTCTCAAAAAAAAAAAAAAAAAAAAAAAAAGCTAGGCTCCGTGAGTCATGGCCCAAATCCAGGAGCCCTGGGCTCTGACAAAGTGCAGAGCCTTGGTTCCCATTCCCTGGTGGGGAGAGAAAGGCCTTGTGCAAACCCTCCCCTCAGGTTAGGGCACCAGTCAAGAATGCAACCCTAATTAAAACGTGAGGCAGTCAGTCAATTACAGTTCCATCGTGGATGGAAGTTCTCCTGATTTCAAACTTGGGCCTTGTAGACGGGAAGAAAGAAAGAAGAGACATTGAGAGTCCTTCCCCCAGGCTATTTCTGGTGAGCCAGTTACTGGGGTTTTATATACATTTTCTACAAAAGAACAAATATTTGGGTCAGATGAAGTGGCTTTGCAGCAGGCTGGGTTTTGACATGCTGTAAATAGTCATCCATAATGGGGCGAGGCTGGCTACACTGAGCCATTGCTGTGCTTAAATCCTGGTTCTCCTCGGGGCCCGTGGGCAGTCAGTCCAGCTGTGAGCTGATCACCCCTGGCCCAGCATCGTGTGGTCGAGGCAGGCTGTGCCTGTCAAAGCCTGAGAGGGGGTGGGGAGTGTCAGGCTGTCTTACCACCTGCCAGAGGGAGGCTCTGGAAGTGGGAAGAAGGGTTGGGCTGAGGCTGGCTGAGGAAACTGATGTCATTGGCATAAACAAGACATAACTCTGCTTTCACAGAGCTGATGAAACGCCATTCCATAGCTCCATGTCCTCAGGGCTGGTGTGAGGCCTGAACTGGGTGTGATGGGGGTGAGGAGGATGTGAATTCACTGGGGAAAGCACCTTAAAAGTGGCAACATTGGAGTGTGGTCTTCAGAATGGGGACTGGTGCCATGGAGACGGGGAATGTATGGTGTTGGGTAAGGTCGGGCATTAGGAGATGGCACTGGGGAGGCAGACAGAGTCAGATTTTAGATGATTGTGAAGGCCATACTGAGTTGTATCTCCTCAGGATACAGGGAGCCGTCTGGGGACTTCTGTGCATACAAGCGATGGGTCACAGGTGCACATTTGGAAGATGGCCTGTCAAGTGGAGGCTGAGCTAGGCTGGATCAGGGAAAGGCTATAGGCTGATCAGGGAGAGGCTAGAGACCACTGGGAGCCATAGAGTCCAGGTGGATATGACAGTCCTAAACAGGACAGTCATAGCGTGACAAAGAATCCACAGGGCTGGGGAATGGTTTGGGTGACATGATGAAGGGGAAGTCAAATTCAGCTCCCAAGTTTGGGGAATGAGCTGCGGTTGCACGTAAATCAATTTTCTGCTCCACTAAGTTTATTCATTTAAATGCCCGAACTTAAATTAACTGTTTTTGGATGGAAAGCTTTCTAAATAGTGACCACTGAACATCACCCTCTGCCTTTTTCAGGAAAGGAAGTAGAACATATTGTAAGCATAGTGCGATGGGATAGTTGCTGTGAATAATTGCAGCTATCCTTATTGTCAGTTGCCTCAAGGCCTGGTGAGGTGTTTGGAACCCTTTGCCCCAGCAATGAATGGCCCCAGGCTGTTGTGCTTAGCTAGTTCTGGGTTTTCTTTCTTTCTCTCTCTCTCTCTTTTTTTTTTTTTTTTTTTAAAAAGGAAAGCTGTTGTTTCCCTCCTGGCTCTTCCCTTCTTTGCTTTCAGCTGTCATTTCTCAGTCCTAGAGCTTTCGAGACCCTCATCCTCCGGCTATTTCTAATCTTCTGCCCCGGGCTTTTCAAATCTCCAACTCCTCTTAAAGTATACAGCCTCTGTGATGGCTGTTTCCTTAACTTGTGGGTTTCTTCTTGTTGCTTCCCCTTCTATAGCTTTATTGCAGATGACTGAGCTTTCAGTGCATGGGGATGTTTCTGTATTTCTTGCGTATTCCCCGCAGTGCCTAGATGGTGCTGAGCATGTTGCTGATACTCAGTAAACATCCATGGATTTAAGAGAAGTAAATAGCCAATCAGCTTTGTGTGTGTGTGTGTGTGTGTGTGTGTGTGTGTGTGTGTGTGTGTGTGTGTCTCAGCACCAGAGAAGTTTACCTTCAGTTTCTCAAAAGCTGGAGTTGCAAAGCCATCTTTGAGAGCCACATTTTTTTCTCCCTCAAAATATGGTCTTAATTGTGTGGTGATAGCCACAGACACCGCCTGGAAGCCTTCCTGTGCTTCAGGAGCAGAATGACTCTCCTCATTGTCTGTGGGTTTAGGCACCGAGAGCTGCACAGATAAAAGCAGATGAGTCACAGGTGTGGATCTGCTGGGCGGCTCTTGTCGTTAGCAGTACAAAGCCACAGGTGCGCATTCAGCGCTGCGAAGCGGGAAGAGGAGCCCTGACGATTCTGAGGGTCTCAGGTCAAGTTAGTTACGTGGGGACTTGAAAATGCATTGGAGATGCAGCCTGGCTTCCGCAGCCGTGGAGAAAATGAGAATGATTTTTGCTATTTGCTTTTGGGGCACCATTTAAGCCCATGTCTTGCTAGGTCAACGTTTTCATGCCCATAGCTATAAATTAAAGAGATGCCTTAGACTTGGGAGCTGTTTCTCTGACTAGAAGCTGCGTCTGTTTATTCCCTTGCAGTTGCTAGGAGCATTGCAGACCAGAAGGAAGGAAATGGAGGATGAATGATTTTAAGCATATTTTCCAAGAGTAATGAAACCGAAAACACAAATTCCCACACACCAGAAAGGAACTGGTTTCCATCCAGTGTAGAAAAAGCTCCTGGCAAGATCCAGACTCTCTGATAATCATTCCCCTTTGCTAGGGTTTAGCTGGGCCACCGGCTTGATTGAAAGCCCGGGTTCAGCGGAATGTGTGGGCAAAGTGTACTAAGCAGGCCAAGTCTATGCAAACCAGGATCTGAATCAGTTATTTAAAACAACAGACTTGGGTAAAATCAACAGTCATTCTAATCTAGTTTATCTGGGAGCAGCAGTTTATCTCACAGAACCTCATTTAGTTCCATGAAATTGAGATTGGTTTCTTGATCTATGAGATTGCAACTTGGTGTGGTATTGTGGCCTTCCATCATTTTAATGAGGTCCTTAATGATATAATCCCACTCTTGGATGAGTTGAAGGTGGCATCCCTCTTGCTGGAGAGACTAGGATGAAAGGCATTTTCTTTTACGTAGGTGACCTGGTTTTTGTTTTCATGAATTCAGAAAGGAATTAGTAGACAACAGGTTCTGCTATCTAATTATTACCATAAAGAAGGGTTGCTGGATACTTAGGCTAAATTCGAAGTCAACACTTTCGGTATAGGCTCTCCAGCATTCACTTGGCGTACAGCCTACAGCCTGTCTCAGTTTATATATTGCTGTGCAAAAATCCACATTAAAACTTAGTGGCCATTGATCTATATCTCTGTTTTGGTACCAGTACCATGCTGTTTTGGTTACTGTAGCCTTGTAGTATAGTTTTAAGTCAGGTAGCATGATGTCTCCAGCTTTGTTCTTTTGGCTCAGGATTGACTTGGTGATGCAGGCTCTTTTTTGGTTCCACATGAACTTCAAAGTAGTTTTTTCCAATTCTGTGAAGAAACTCATTGGTAGTTTGATGGGGATGGCATTGAATCTATAAATTACTTTGGGCAGTATGGCCATTTTCGCAATATTGATTCTTCCTACCCATGAGCATGGAATGTTCTTCCATTTGTTTGTATCCTCTTTTATTTCATTGAGCAGTGGTTTGTAGTTCTCCTTGAAGAGGTCCTTCACATCCCTTGTAAGTTGGATTCCTAAGTATTTTATTCTCTTTGAAGCAATTGTGAATGGGAGTTCACTCATGATTTGGCTCTCTGTTTGACTGTTATTGGTGTATAAGAATGCTTGTGATTTTTGTACATTGATTTTGTATCCTGAGACTTTGCTGAAGTTGCTTATCAGCTTAAGGAGATTTTGGGCTGAGATGATGGGGTTTTCTAGATATACAATCATGGCGTCTGCAGACAGAGACAATTTGACTTCCTCTTTTCCTAATTGAATACCCTTTATTTCCTTCTCCTGCCTAATTGCCCTGGCCAGAACTTCCAACACCATGTTGAATAGGAGTGGTGAGAGAGGGCATCCCTGTCTTGTGCCAGTTTTCAAAGGGAATGCTTCCAGTTTTTGCCCATTCGGTATGATATCGGCTGTGGGTTTGTCATAGATAGCTCTTATTATTTTGAGATACGTCCCATCAATACCTAATTTATTGAGAGTTTTTAGCATGAAGGGTTGTTGAATTTTGTCAAAGGCCTTTTCTGCATCTATTGAGATAGTCATGTGGTTTTTGTCTTTGGTTCTGTTTATATGCTGGATTACATTTATTGATTTGCGTATATTGAACCAGCCTTGCATCCCAGGGATGAAGCCCACTTGATCGTGGTGGATAAGCTTTTTGATGTGCTGCTGGATTTGGTTTGCCAGTATTTTATTGAGGATTTTTGCATCAATGTTCATCAAGGATATTGGTCTAAAATTCTTTTTTTGGTTGTGTCTTTGCCAGGCTTTGGTATCAGGATGATGCTGGCCTCATAAAATGAGTTAGGGAGGATTCCTTCTTTTTCTATTGATTGGAATAGTTTCAGAAGGAATGGTACCAGTTCCTCCTTGTACCTGTGGTAGAATTTGGCTGTGAATCCATCGGGTCCTGGACTCTTTTTGGTAGGTAAGCTATTGATTATTGCCACAATTTCAGATCCTGTTATTGGTCTATTCAGAGATTCAACTTCTTCCTGGTTTAGTCTTGGGAGAGTGTATGTGTCGAGGAATTTATCCATTTCTTCTAGATTTTCTAGTTTATTTGCATAGAGGTGTTTGTAGTATTCTCTGATGGTAGTTTGTATTTCTGTGGGATTGGTGGTGATATCCCCTTTATCATTTTTTATCGTGTCTATTTGATTCTTCTCTCTTTTTTTCTTTATTAGTCTTGCTAGTGGTCTATCAATTTTGTTGATCGTTTCAAAAAACCAGCTCCTGGGTTCATTAATTTTTTGAAGGGTTTTTTTTGTCTTCATTTCCTTCAGTTCTGCTCTGATTTTAGTTGTTTCTTGCCTTCTGCTAGCTTTTGAATGCGTTTGCTCTTGCTTTTCTAGTTCTTTTAATTGTGATGTTAGGGTGTCAATTTTGGATCTTTCCTGCTTTCTCTTGTGGGCATTTAGTGCTATAAATTTCCCTCTACACACTGCTTTGAATGTGTCCCAGAGATTCTGGTATGTTGTGTCTTTGTTCTCGTTGGTTTCAAAGAACATCTTTATTTCTGCCTTCATTTCGTTATGTACCCAGTAGTCATTCAGGAGCAGCTTGTTCAGTTTCCATGTAGTTGAGCAGTCTCGAGTGAGTTTCTTAATCCTGAGTTCTAGTTTGATTGCACTGTGGTCTGAGAGACAGTTTGTTATAATTTCTGTTCTTTTACATTTGCTGAGGAGAGCTTTACTTCCAAGTATGTGGTCAATTTTGGAATAGGTGTGGTGTGGTGCTGAAAAAAATGTATATTCTGTTGATTTGGGGTGGAGAGTTCTGTAGATGTCTATTAGGTCCGCTTGGTGTAGAGCTGAGTACAATTCCTGGGTATCCTTGTTAACTTTCTGTCTCATTGATCTGTCTAATGTTGACAGTGGGGTGTTAAAGTCTCCCATTATTATTGTGTGGGAGTCTAAGTCTGTTTGTAGGTCACTCAGGACTTGCTTTATGAATCTGGGTGCTCCTGTATTGGGTGCATATATATTTAGGAGAGTTAGCTTTTCTTGTTGAATTGATCCCTTTACCATTATGTAATGGCCTTCTTTGTCTCTTTTGATCTTTGTTGGTTTAAAGTCTGTTTTATCAGAGACTAGGATTGCAACCCCTGCCTTTTTTTGAACAGAGCCCTCAGAAATAACGCCGCATATCTACAACTATCTGATCTTCGACAAACATGCAAAAAACAAGCAATGGGGAAAGGATTCCCTGTTTAATAAATGGTGCTGGGAAAACTGGCTAGCCATATGTAGAAAGCTGAAACTGGATCCCTTCCTTACACCTTATACAAAAATTAATTCAAGATGGATTAAAGACTTAAACATTAGACCTAAAACCATAAAAACTCTATAAGAAAACCTAGGCATTACAATTCAGGACATAGGCATGGGCAAGGACTTCATGTCTAAAACACCAAAAGCAATAGCAACAAAAGCCATAATTGACAAATGGGATCTAATTAAACTAAAGAGCTTCTGCACAGCAAAAGAAACTACCATCAGAGTGAACAGGCAACCTACAAAATGGGAGAAAATTTTCACAACCTACTCATCTGACAAAGGGCTAATACCCAGAATCTACAATGAACTCAAACAAATTTACAAGAAAAAAACAAACAACCCCATCAAAAAGTGGGCAAAGGATATGAACAGACACTTCTCAAAAGAAGACATTTATGCAGCCAAAAGACACATGAAAAAATGCTCATCATCACTGGCCATCAGAGAAATGCAAATCAAAACCACAATGAGATACCATCTCACACCAGTTGGAATGGCAATCATTAAAAAGTCAGGAAACAACAGGTGCTGGAGAGGATGTGGAGAAATAGGAACACTTTTACACTGTTGGTGGGACTGTAAACTAGTTCAACCCTTGTGGAAGTCAGTGTGGCAATTCCTCAGGGATCTGGAACTAGAAATACCATTTGACCCAGCCATCCCATTACTGGGTATATACCCAAAGGGCTATAAATCATGCTGCTATAAAGACACATGCACACGTATGTTTATTGCGGCACTATTCACAATAGCAAAGACTTGGAACCAACCCACATGTCCAACAATGATAGACTGGATTAAGAAAATGTAGCATATATACACCATGGAATACTATGCAGCCATAAAAAATGATGAGTTCATGTCCTTTGTAGGGACATGGATGAAATTGGAAATCATCATTCTCAGTAAACTATCACAAAGTCAAAAAACCAAACACCGCATGTTCTCACTCATAGGTGGGAATTGAACAATGAGAATACATGGACACAGGAAGGGGAACATCACACTCTGGGGACTGTGGCGGGGTGGGGGGAGGGGGGAGGGATAGCATTAGGAGATATACTTAATGCTAAATGATGAGTTAATGGGTGCAGCACACCAGCATGGCACATGTATACATATGTAACTAACCTGCACATTGTGCACATGTACCCTAAAACTTAAAGTATAATAAGAATAATAATAATAATTAATAATAAAAGAAATCAGAGAAAAAAAAAACTTAGTAACCTAAAAGAACAACATTTATTTGCTCAGAATTCTGCAGTTTGGGCAGGGCTCAGCAAGGATGGTTCATGTTTGCTCTTCATGATGCCAGCTAACATGGCTTGACTGAGGTTGCAAGATGCACTTCCAAGATGGCTCACTCACATGACTAGAAAGTTGGAGCTGGCTGTTGACTGGGAACTCAACTGCTGCTGTTGACCACAGCTTCAGTTCCTTTCCATGTGGCCTCTCCATGTGGTTACGTTGGGCTTTTCACAGCATGATGGTTGGATTCTGAAATAAAGGATACTAAAAGTTCTAAGAGAACAAGCCCCACTGTGCAAGCACTTATTCAGCCTCTGCTTGTATCATGTTTGGTCATATCTCATTGGCTAAAACCAGTCACATAGTATGATGAGCAGCATAATGGTCTCCCAAAGATGTCCATGTCCTAATCGCAGAAAACTGAGTATGTTATCTTACATGGCAATAGAGGTTTTGCAGATGTGATTAATGTTAGGCTCTTGAGGTGGAGAAGCTATCTTGGGTTATGTGGTGGGCTCAGTGTAATCACCAGGGTCCTTTATTTTTAATTTTTGAGACAGGGTCTTGTAGGCTAGAATGCAGTGACACAAAAACGGCTTACTGCAGTCTCTATCTCCTACCTCCCAGGCTCAAGCAATCCTCCCACCTCAGCCTTCCAAGTAGCTGAGACCACAGACTTGTGCCACCATGCCCAGCTAATTTTTTTAAATTTTTTGTAGATATGGGGTCTCCCTGTGTTGCCCCAGCTGGCCTCAAACTCCTGGGCTCAAGTGATCCTCCCATCTCTGCCTCCCAAAGTGCTGGATTTAGAGGTGTGAGCCACTTTGTCCAGCCCAAGGTCCTTACAAGTGAAAGACAGAGACAGGAGAGTCAGAGTCAGAGAACAAGATGTGATGACAGGAGCAATGATGAGAGTGATGCAGAGTTTGTCTTTGAAGATGGAGGAAGGGGCCACAAGCAAAGGAATCCATGCAGGCTTTAGAGCCCAGAAAAGGCAAGAAAATGGGCCTTCCCCGGAGCCTCCAGAAGGAACATCCCTGCCAACACTTCTACTTCAGCCAAGTGAGACTCTTGTTAGACTGCTGATTTCCAGAACCATGAGGTAATAAATCTGTGTTGTTTTAAGCCACTGAGTTTGTGGTAATTTGTTACAGCAGCGAGAGGAAACAAATGCACATGTACAACCCCAGAGTCTGTGTGGGAGGGGCCATACACAGAGGCATGGATCTAGGAGCCATGTTTGGTTGGGGGTGTCACCAAAGTAACAGTCCATTATTCAAACTGGCAGACATTTGACAGACCAGAATCTCATGTCATTTTCTTCAGGAAGTAGTTTTGCCCAGAGTTAAATATTTTATGGATGCCTTACAGTCTTTCTGTTCAAGGTGGATGTTCCATTATCTATGCTTCCCACTGGTTCCAAGTTGAAATTGTAGCTGCCACGCTGAATGTGATACCACTTCAGGCCCTTGTGTTGGAGCCACTGTAAGCTCCCCTTTCCCTTCCCCAATTTTTATTATGAAAAATTTCCAACATAGAGAAAAGTTTAAAGAATAGTACAGGGCATTTAGGGATACCTACCACCTAGATTCAAAAATTATTAATATTCTGCCATATTTGCTTAATTTATATGTGCATGCATATCTATGTATATTTTTTGCTGAGCTGTTTGAAAGTTTCAGACATCAAGTACCTTCACCCCTAAGTACTTTTTAGCACATGTGTCCTAACTATAGGGACATTCTCCTGCTTTGCCACAGTGGTCATTACACCTAATAAGATAAAAAATTCTCCACAATCATCTAACATACAGTCTACATTCAAATTTCCCGAGTGGCCAAAACAAATTTTTAGAATTGTTTTTTAAAAATCTATTCATATGTTACATTTAGTTATTGTCCCTCTAGTCTCTTACTCTAAAATAACCCTCCACTTTTTTCCCTTTCATAGCATTGACTGTTGGAAGAGACCAGGCCAGTTATCTTGCAGAATGTCCCACATAGTACATTTGCCCAGTTATTTCCTTGCAGTGCTGTCTAACTTATTCTTCTATCCCCTGTATCTCCTGTAAATTGAAAGTTATATTCAAAGGCTAGACTAGATGCAGGTTATGCACTTTTCGTAAGAATATTTTTATAAATGATACCATGTCCTGCATATGGCATCACTTCCAGCACATAATGTCAGGTGTCCCCTGTAGTTGACTTGGTTTAATCATTAGGTTAAAGGGATGAACATGAGGCGATGCCATTGTGAAGGTAGATTTTTTTCCTTCTGTAATTAGCAAGTAATCTGTTCGGGTGGTACTTTGGCAAGGAGCAGATATGCTGTTTCCCAAGAACTTGTCACCTAATGGCTTTTGCATCCCTTGGTAACCCTTATGTGAGGTAGCAGGGGTATTGTAAAATGGTGATTTTTAAAATCCTATCATTCTTTCTACATTTATTAGCTGAAAGTTTTTGTAAGGAAGACCTCATGTCTCTCTTTGAGTTCTTCCTTGCTTTTAGGCACAATATGCCCCAGACAAATTGTATTTTTATTGTTTCAGGCATAGAATCCGTGATTTTTCTAAAGAATCCTGGTTCTTTTTAGTGGGACTTACCTCTTAGGCACTAGGGATGCTCGTTCTAAGGCCATTTAGTGGATAGAGCTAGGAAACATAGTTAATAAATTATGCGTTCAAACTGATGTTTTGAATTCAGATTTAGAACTCAAGATTTTTTTCCTTAACTTTTTACCTTTTTATATATATTTCTATATGTTTTCTCAAACTGAATTTTTGTTTGTTTGTTTTTGCTCTTGTTGCCCAGGCCTGGAGTGCAATGGCAAAATCTTGGCTCACTGCAACCTCCGCCTCTCGGGTTCAAGCGATTCTCCTGCCTCAGCCTCCCGGGTGGCTGAGATTACAGGCGCCTGCCACCATGCCCAGCTAATTTTTTGTATTTTTAGTAGAGATGGGGTTTCACGATGTTGACCAGGCTGGGCTCAAACTCCTGACCTCAGGTGATTCACCCTCCTCAGCCTCCCAAAGTGCTGGGATTACAGGCGTGAACCACTGCACCCAGCATCAAACTGAAATTTTGATTCCTGTGCGTTAACATGTTTACCTGTTTGTGTATAATACATATATTCACATAAAATAGTCTTAAACTTATAACACCAATATTATTACTAACAATAAAACTACCAAGTGAAGCTTTTCTTGGCACTTTCTTTTTGTCCTTAGAATATATCCCGTTACAGATGTACGATCAGAGTTCAAATGAGTTGAAAAGTCATTTGAAAAAATTCTTTGTGTGATTATGTTATCAATTTTATAAACAGTTAGCTTCATGTGTTTTGGACTGTAAGGTTTACCCCCCTTTTAAAATTAATTTTGTTTCTTAGAAAATATAAAACATTATATAGCAGGTCCTCAATGTCATCCATAAGTTGTTGGAAACTGTGACTTTAAATGAAATGACATATAACAAAACCAATTTTTTTCCTCACAGTGTTATAAGACAATGTTGAATGAAATGATATTATTCCAGGACCTGCTGTATGTCATTTCACTTAAAGTTGCAGTTTCCAAGAACCTTAACAAGGGCATTAAGTGAAGACTTTATATATGTGGTTTAAAAGTCAAAACCATATAATACAGTAACCTCATAGAAATCTTGATTCCATTCCTGTCTTTTCTGCTCCATTCTCCTATATAGATAACCATTTTGCTAGTTTTTTTTCTTTCCAGTGCATCTTTTTGTAAAAGAAAAGATTTCATACTCATTCTTATTTCTCCTTCTTTCTTAGACAAGAGCAGCAGCATGTCCTCTATATTCTTCTTCACCCTGCATTGTCCGCTTTTTAATATAGCCTTGAAATCCCTCCATACCAGCCCTTCAAGGCCATCCTCTTTGTCCATTGCATGTACTTCTCCACTGTGTGGCTACCCCGGAAGGGATTCAGCAAATTCTCTGTCCATAGGCTGTTGGGTTGTTTCCGGTCTTTTTCTTGCACAGACAGTGCTGCAATGAGTAATCTCTAGTGCATGTCATTTCGTACATGTGAAGGCATATCAGCAAGGGGGATTGATGGGTCAAAAGATGAAAACAGGTGTAATTTGTCAGATATTGCTACATTCTCCTCTCTGGGGGCTGTACCATTTTGCATTCCCTCAGCAATGTGTGAGAACACGTGTCTCCACAGCCTTAACCACAAAATGCTTGTCAAACTTAAGGCTCTTTGCCAATATGATGAATGAGAAATGAGTGTTTCTGTTTTGTTGTATGTTTATCTTATGAGTAAGGTTACACATTTTTTTCATAGGTCTAAGGGCCATCTCCCCTTTTCTTTCTATAAACTGTGTACATCTTTTGTTCATTTTTCTGTCATGTGATTGGTCTTTTTCCTTTCAGAGAATTTCTAAATTAGAGAGATTAAGCCTTTTTCTCTAAATTGCAAATGGTTTCCTTTCTTCGTTTTTTCATTTTTTAACTTATATTTTTGCAATGCATTTATTTTATTTTTATTTTATCAGTCTTGTATTTCAAATCGTAATCAGAAAGACTTTTCCACTCCCTGGTGATTAAGGAACAGTCCACTCATGTTTTCTTCTAGTACACATAGAACTTCATTATTTAGTTAGCTGTCTAATGCATTTGGAGTTTTTTTTTTTTTTCTGGTGAATGGTATGATAGGGATCCAGTTTTGTTTTTCCAAAAAGTTATGCATCTTTCCCCCAAAGGTTTGAGATGCTACCTTTATCATACACCAAATTTCCACATGGGGTCTATTTGCCAACTTTCTCTTCTCTTCCATTGATCTGTCAGACCCAAGGTTCTTGAAGTTCATCTTGACCCAGGACAGTGTGCCTCTGTCATATTCTTCCATAGTCGAGAGCCAGCCCACCCCAAGATGGTGAAAGCCCAAAACTGAGCACTTAGCCTGCAGCGTGGAGTGGCACGTCTATTCCTGTGGATACTCTAAAAGCTCTTCCTGGCTCTTGCTGGACTGTCAGGGTACTGTGTACCAATCTGTGCTATTTTGGCTCCTTGTGGAATTGCTTTTGATAAACAAGGCTTATTAGTGACAGGTCATGGCCTTGTACTGAGGGATGTGCTAAGGAAAAGCCCTGTAAAACCCAAGGTGTTGAGAATTCACTACATCATTCTCTCACGCCTGATTTTATTTTTCCTCTTTTTACCCAGCTTTCCTGACATTATTTTCCTTTTATCTTTTTAAATTATGTGCATCTTTGCAAGCAGTTCTGGAGTATATATTGTCGAAAGAGGAGGGAAGGAAGGAAGGGAATCACATAAGACTGATGACTTTCTGCTGCAGTGAAATATGGAAACGGTGCAGAGTCCTTGATTTCAGGCTGGATTTACTGCACTCCTCAAAGGAACTTTTCTTGGACAGGTTTACCTAATGCAGAAAAACACCTTTTCTTCCAGGTCAAGCAGCTTTCATCCTTTAAATCTAATCGTTTTCAGTGAGATAGGAATAAATGCAGAAGGATTTTCAAGCTGATACAGGTTCAGACACGTGTGTTAGATGCCACAGTCAGCTTGAAGCATTTGCTTTTGACTTTGTTGAACACATCTGCACCTTGACTCATGGTGGCCATCGTGGACGTGTGCTGGAGTAAATCCTGTATTGTCCCTGGGACCAAATGCAGACCTTTCTGCAGGCATCCACTGCCATCCAGTCACTTGTTTTTGTACATGACGTGTTATCTCCCTCACTTCATGATACTTCTCCCTGGTCCAGTGCCCATTGAACTTGTGCATGGGCCACACCACCTCGAGGAGGCCTTGACTGCTTTGTTCCCTTTAGGCCCCCATTTGCTTCAGTACCTAGCCCTGAGCTCTGCTGGTACCTAAGGTGGCTGCATTGGCCTTGCTTCCTGCTTCATCAATGCCTCTGCACCTTTCTCCTTGCCTGGGAAATTTCTGCATTTGTTGTATTTGATCAAGCATCCATGTAAATATAAAAATTCCTGCATCACAAATCAGTCTGCTGCATCTTCCTAACGCTGATAATGGCCTTGGCTGAGGCCCAGTTGTCCCTTCCTGGATGACCAGGCTCCCCTGAGTCTCAGTGTCTAAACCGTTATTGTGTCATTATTTCTTATCCGAAGGGCCCATATCCCTTAGCCAAAATTCTGAAATAGAAAAGGCTCTGCAAACAGGAAATCATTTGACAGCAAAACCCAGCCTAAACTGACATGAGGCCATTTATAGTCCTTATTTATCCCAATAGATGTGAATCCTTATACCTTTTGCTGTGGAAATATGACTGTGTCTGATTCTGGAGTACTGTCCCAGAACCTGCTGGGAGTATCATGATATATGACGTTTGTCATCTGAATTTCAAAACATATCTGGTCCCAAGGACTTGTGATAAGGGATTATGAGCCTGGAGGAAATCAGAGGCTGGAGATGCCTGTAATTTCATGTCATATGACTGTCAGGATAGCTCGTGCATAGAAATGACCCATGCCTAGGTAAGTAAAAGTATATGAGGCCCAAGACTTTGAAAATACTCAAAGTATTAGTATACTAATACTTTGTATACTAAGGACTTCCCCATTCCTGGAAGATCCACAGGACGTGTGAGAAGACTAGGAAAGAGGTTCCCAAATCAGAATATACTAGATGTCCCCAGTCCCCAGAGTTTGTCAATTGCAGGTGCTCTGACACCAGCAGGTTTCTGGATTTACAAATCTAAGAATAATAAGATTTGAAACACTTTCCTTATTCCAGGCACTGTTCTAAGTGCTCAGTATGGGTAATCTAATCAGATCCTTGTGACAACCCTTTGAGGCAGTTGATATCACCATCCCTTAAACCATGAGGAAACTGAGGTCCATGCAGGTTAAGTGAATCCATATCAGTTCAGATGCCCGAAAACACAAACCTCACCAGCTATTTAAGAAAAGATTAATAGAGGGGATTGGGAGTTTCCAGAATTAGAAGGGCCTAGAGGAGCAGGATGGAGGCTCAGCTTCCAGGAGTGATTCTCAACAGGACACTGCATGGCTGGACCCTCAAGATTGCTGCTTCCACAGTCAGGAAAGTTGAGAATCAGGACTCTATTGCAGGAACTGTCAACCCCAGGAACACCCACTCAACCACCTTCTGGGGACCAGGAGAGGTGACCATGACTGTTTGCTTCAGAGTTGGCATGCCTTTTGCTGCACCTGCAATCTGCTTTTCAGCACACCTGCAAAACTGGTGACTGGTCTCCTTGCCTGTGCTTGCCAGAGAACGGCAGAATCTACCACCGTATGGCCTCCACCTCATTTCCTTAGCTTCTCAAAGCATATGCAAACACGTCTGCTTGGTAGAATCTTAAACACATCTAGAACCTGGAGGTGCAAAGGAATAGGTCGTTGTCATTTTGCCAACTTTGGCATACAGCAAGGCACATGGGGAGGAAGGTCCAATGGATGTTGATTGAGCCAGTCTGCAGACCCACACATTAAATAACTTCCCAGAGCTTACACAGGAAGTGGTGGATCCAGGATTTGAAGCCAGGCTGTGTGTTCCCAGCATCTAAGCTCTGTGAAGTGTACTGCCTCACAGGAATCCCGTGAGCTCATGCTTGGGGCTGGCTGGACTCCATGACAAACATGTCTTCTCCATATTCTGTTTCTTCAGCAGGTTCACAGCTCTAGTCCATGTGTCTGTATGGTACAAGGAGGACTCTTGAGCTGGCTCTGAATCCTTTGAGGACTGATTTTGATGGTGTCTATCTAATGGCTATTGACTGGTTGTATCCATTACCCTTTGATCTAACAATGCTGCCTAACAAGTCACCCTAAAATTCACTGACTTAAAACAGTAGACATGTAATATTGTTCGCCTAGTCTATAGGTTGGCTGGTTCTTCTCAGCTGGGTTCACTCATGCATCAGTGGTCAGCTGCAGGTCACTTAGGTGGCTCTGCTTATCTTGGCTGGGACCTGTCACATGCTTGGGGTTAGCTGGCTGATCTCTCACTAAGTAGGCTGGTTTCTCATCCTCCAATAGTCCAGCCAGTGTGTTCTTATAGCAATTTCTGAGAAATGAAAGAGGAAGTTGAAATGTGCATGCATTTTCCTAAAGCCAGTCACACAGTCATGCTCAAGGTCATGGTGGAAAGGGTACCTCAAAGTTGCCCTCTCTGGATACAGAGAGGCCATTAGTTGGGGTCATCAACTAATTAGAGAACCTTAGGCACAATGTTTAACCTCTCCAATGGCCCATACAACTGAACTCCTTGGAAAGCATAGCTTGGATGAGAGGCGTGGAGAACCAAGCCCTCTGGAACCCTGCATGTTAAATCTAATATGGAATTCAGCACCCAGGGGCTATCTAGCGAGGCTCTGCCTAAATGAAATCATCTGTTCTTTTGGCTGGCTTTATTCTGTGCTCAAGCCAGGGCTCCCCAGCTGACTCAGGGACACAGCCATTAACTTGTGGGGCCTGTGCTTAACAGAGCTGCTTCTCAACAAAGACAGTCTTTTGACATCTCAAGCGGCAAGCTCGATCGCCAATTAAAAAGCTCATGTCCTCAATGTGACAAATACCGGGGAAAACAAGTCTGCAATTCAGAACACAAGTGGAGGAACATGAAGCAAGTTCATCATGACGGCAGCACCGGCCTTGTTGGAGCTTTCATCTCGCCTCTCGGTGAGACAGAGCACGACTCTCCCAAGATTTCCCAGGTCATGCCGCTTAGCTGGGCAAGACGTGCCGCCAGGCCGAGATGGTTCACCCTGCTTCATGGGATCATGTGAAGGGTCAGGGTTGTTTTTCTATAGCTTAGATTGCGGCCTGCACATCTTACATTTTCTTAATTCATATTTAATAACCTTATAGGGCTCTCCGGTGGCTGTGCTGTGAGACAGATCAGGAAGCCAAGGTCGTCCATGCAGCCAGGATCCTGGGGTTCCTTAGGGCCCTGATCCCTTCTCTGCAGAACATTAGGGGCTGCCCCCAAGACTTCAGCCCTAGAGATTCAATTGGCAGCTTCGATATTGAAAGACTAAAAAAAAATGGACATTCCTCCCGTTTTTCTTTTGGATCCGTTTCCCTTTGAAGTGAAGTTGCACTGTCTCCCCAGGTCCCCAGTGAAAGCAGAGTTGTGTATCCTCTGGTTTGTTTCTCAGGAGATGTGTTTTAACTAAGTTAATAATAATAATAACAACAGCTTTATTGATAAATAGTTCACATACCCTATAATTTACCCATTTAAGGTATACAATTCAGTGGTTTTTAATATAGTCACAGATATGTGCAACCATCCCTATGGCTTATATTAGAGCATTTTCATCATCTCAAAAAGAAACCCCATACACATTAGCAGTCAATCCCCATTTTTCCTTCCCCCAATCACTGGCAACCACTAATCTATTGTTTTTTTCTTTTTCACTCAAACAGATTTCTGACAGATCCACTTTCTATGTCTATAGCTTTCCCTGTTCTGGACAGTGGATATCAATGGAATTATACAATAATGCGGTCTTTTGTGACTTAATTCTTTCACTTAGCATAAACTAAGGAAATTTTTTTAAGTTTGTCTTTGAAGCCAGATGGCTGAGTTTGAATCCTGGCTCCACATCCTACTCCACTTACCTAAAAACTGGTTTGTTTTTAGGTAAGTGACTTAACCTCTCTGTGTCTGTCTCCTCATCTTAATACAGAGAGAATTCCAGTGATCACTCCCATAGAACTCCCTGGGTAAATCCATGTAAAGGCTGTATTTGAGCTGTGCCTGGAACACAGTAGGGACCCAGGGAATGTGAGTTCTCATCATCTTTCTTGTCCTGTGTTCCCTGAAGGCCTTTCTAGCTCTGTTTGGGGAGCCTTGCTTGTTTGTTTTCATTCCCACAGCAAACATCAGTGGCAGTGTGGACAGCTCTTCCCATATGAATTGCACCTGGGTCATGGGGACTGGGAAGCTGTGCATGCGCCTTGCAAGCTCTCACCCAAGTCTAGAGCCTCCTGCATCTCCCTCTTCCCAAGGCAGCCTCATGGCCCCACTTGAGGCTCTGAGGTTCTGCCTTTAAGGGAATAGAAAGTTTTTCTCCCCAGCTCCCAGTGAAAGCAGCTGTTTCCTTGTGAGTGTCCTCCAGGTGGGAGACGGAGGGATTTTGGACGGGCACATTAGTCCATTTTACTCCTCAGGGTTTAAGTTAACAGGAATAGTAGAAGGGATCAACGTTGACCCAGAAAACTGGCCCACAGGCCTGCTATTGGGTAATGTACTAGTCCATTCTTTAGTTGCTATAAAGAAGTACCTGAAGCTGGGTAGTTTATAAAGAAAGGAGTTCATTTGGCTCATGGTTCTGTAGGGTGTCTAGGAAGCATGGCACTGGCATCCTCTCCTGGAGAGGCCTCAGGATGCTTCTAATCAGGGCAGAAGGCGAAGAGGGAGCAGGCTGTCACATGACGAGAGGGGGAGCAAGAGAAGGGGGAGGTGCCACTCTTATTTTTATTTTTTCTTGAAATAGGTCTTGCATTTTCACCCAGTCTAGAGTGCAGTGGTGCGATCACATCTCATTCAAGCCCCAATCTCCTGCCCTCAGTTGATCCTCCCACCTCAGCCTCTTGAATAGCTGGGACCACAAGCATGTCCCACCGTGCCCAGAAAAAAAAATTTTTTTCTTTTTTTTTTTTTAGAGATGGGGTCTCACTGTGTTGTCCAGGCTGGTCTCCAGTTCCTGAGCCCAAGTCATCCTCCAACCGCAGTCTCCCAAAGTGCTAGGATTACAGGTGTGAGCCATCATGCCTTACTGTCACAGCCAGCAGTCTCATGAACTGAGTAAGAACTCACTCATCACCAAGGGGATGGTGCCGAGCCATTCACAAGGGATCCTCCAGGGTCCAATGCCTCCCACCAAGCCCCACCTCCAACATTGGGGATCTCATTTCAACATGAGATTTGGAGGGGTCACACATCCAAACCGTGTCAGATGGGAAGCTGAGAAAAGTGACATCTGCCTCTGAAATAGTTCTGGGAACGTCACTGGAGGGTGACTGCCAGGTTCACTCATGCCATCAGCCCCGCCTTTGTGTCCTCAGTAATTTTTACTCTGAGCATAATCACAGCCCTCGTTGAGAGGAGCCACTGTCCCTGTTGGTCTTCTTTCTAGAAGTATCTCTTATATACTGATATACAGCAGTGCATTTACATTGTTAACTGTAAAAATGACACCAACACATTTAGAAAGGCCACCAGATAAAATAAAGAAAAATGTATCCCTCAACGCTGACATACTTACTGGCTTGCTTTTGGAACGTTCTTCTTTCTGTCTTCAGGTGCTAGAACTTTAGGAGAGTAAGTGGGCTCTGTTGAGGGACTCTGAAGACTGGTCACCCCCCCGCCCACACACACACACACATCCCCCAGCACTTGAGCTGCGCTTCCACATAACCACTTCCTTTATGCTGGGACTGTGGTTTCTTTGTGTGTTTTTATGTCTTTTCCATGTCTGGGTCTGGGTTTGCCTCCCCTGAGAGACCGTAAACTTCTAAAGAACAAGAACTGTGTTGTCTCCTTTTATAGGAGTGTATGTTTCATTAAAAAAAAAAAAAGTAAAAGTAAATTTTAAAAAACGTTTCTTGTCTATGCCTACGATGTTCTTATTGACTTGAGGGTTTAGACAGTGTCTCTGAAAATTCTCTGGCAAACACTCCCTGGCCCCACCATAAACAGCTGGTTGATGTAACCACACCGTAGCTCAGTCACCACGTCACAGGAGCTGTGTCTTCTTCTGCCCGGGAACTACCTGTCCTGTGTGACAGAAAAATGCAGCGGTTGCCAGCCAAGGGCCCACAGGCAGGATTCCCCTGAAGCTGTGGGACTTTGCTAACAATGCATCTCCCACATTGAGGCTTTTCAGAAATGCGATTGAAAATAGAAGTGTGGGTGCAGCATTTTCCTTCCTGCCACATGGGAATTCTGGGGAAAGAGCTCACCTTGAAGGAACAACCTTGCTGGGAGTGCAGTGGGGGGACCTTTCCCCTGGAGCCGGAGCCCCTGCTGGGTTCTGGCAGCCCCAGGATGCCCACTGAGCTCTGCTTCTCTGGGCACCCTGAGAAATGGACGGCAGCGGCCCTGACTCCGGGCTAAGGCAGGGCTTCAATTAAGCCAGAGAAACACGATTTATTATCAGCATGTTTTCAGTTCCAAGCCGTGCTTTGAAAAGGTCACCTTATATGAATATTTAGAAAAAGCAAGATCATAAAATAAGAGGGACTTGGTATTTTGTTTTGTATTTTTTTTTTAGAAGAAAATTCGGGCTCACTGGTAACTTACAATGGGCAAACTCTAGCACTTTTTATTTAACCTGCATTTACCCTTTAAAAATGGGGAGGAGGTTTTAGAACTGCATTTGAGGAGACTTTCTGTGTCCAGGGGATTTTACAGCGTTTGAAACCAGGGCAGTGAGCCTTACACCCGGGACCCAAGGTCCGCTTGCTGACTAAATGCCCATTAAAACAGCAAATGAGGAGGCCAGGTCTGCTTTGAAGAGCCTAGCCTAATTGTGTTGTATTTGTGTCAGCTGATGGCTACTTTTTTCATTAGGGACTTTTAACCTGTGGGTCATCTTTTGAAATACACATTCGATTGAGTCAGTTCTTCCTTTAAGACCTCAATTGGCTCTCCTTGCCCGAGGAGAAAGCTGGGCCCCTGACCCTCCCGCCCCGGCCCCTTGAGATCTGGACACAGCCTTGCCTCAGAACTCAGCCTGTCACCTCCCCTCCCCTCCTGTCACGTCCTGTGTCCCATTCCAGTCCCATAGTGAGGGGACTTAGTGGATTATATTGTAGGATGAGCTTAGTTAAAGATTAAACGAGTATGTTTATTCTTTATTTCACAGAGTAATTGTTTTAAAACGAATTTTATTTTTATGCTTAGTAGGATGGATTTTATTTAAACCCCCAGGCAGACTCCATTTAAATCTGTCTATAAATTGTATAGTCTTGATGTTTTTGTATAACTTTGATATACATTCTTTACAAAATCCCGGTTTTATTTTTACAAGATGAAGATTATACATTTTAAAGCAGTTATTTCGTCAGCTTTTTCTGTCTCCTTGTATAATCATATCAGAGGACTGAATAATGATTTCGTTATTTCATTTGCACAGTCTCTCGTGACTGCTAAGCACTCTGCTTGTAGTTCCTGTTTTTTGCTATTCCTCTGTTCTTGCGTTTTTTTCTGCAATCTCTCCCCGCCTTGCCCAGATCTCTTCCTCAATGATTTTTTTTTAAATTTTGTACAACAAATATTCCTCGGTGCCTCCTGCCCACCAGACACTATGCCAGGTGCCAAGTGTAGAATGCAGATTAAACAGCCAGGTTGTCTACCCCTTGGCACTTGGCATGGAATTCCGTGGCGCCTTTCCATTAAAGAGGGCTAAGGGCTGTCAGCTGAATTTGACAACTCGTAGAAACAGGAACAGTGGGTTGGGGGGGGGGCATTTATTTCTCTCGCATCTGCAGCCTCTGTGCAATCAGTTTGTCATCTCTGAAGACAAATTTATTGTGAATTAAATAAGATCACCCTTTGATGTCTCTTGAATGTGGCCTCTTCTCAGGCCTGGCTCCTTCTGGTAGAGCTGTTGTCTTTAGTTGCTGACATTATCAATAACAAAATCTTGGCCCACCCATAAAATTGTCCCACTTCCATAATCCTTGACCTCTTGTGACTGATTAGTAAAGCTCTGTAAAAAGGTTACCTGAAAATATATTTTATAAATACCGTGTATTATGATTCAGAGTTACACCTCGTGCCTAAAATATGTTCTTCAACTTTAACCTATTTTAAGTTGAAATAGTTTTGCTAGATTTGGTTGGTTTATCATTACTGTTGTTATCAACATTGGTTTGGTCTGTTGTTAGTGAAGGTCTTTGTTAAAAAGCAAATAAATAAGTGGAAATCCAGTTAATGTAAGATATTTTGGTTTGTGAATTTTATTTGCCTTTCTGCTCTAAGAAGTTTCCCTGAGGACAGGCAGACAAGTTTGCCATTGAGTGATGAAGAGAAGCGTCAGCTGAGGGATGGTCTCCTGATTTTTTTTTTTTTTTTTTTTTTTTGAGACCGAGTCTCCATCTGTCACCAAGGCTGGAGTGCAGTGGCACCATCTCGGCTCACTGCAACCTCTGCCTCCCAGGTTCAAAAGATTCTCCTGCCTCAGCCTCCCGAGTAGAGTCTCCTGATTTTGTAAATTCTGCCATGTGGTTCATTTGTTAGTCAGCCACAGTTAGGCACTGAATTGTGTCTCCCCAAAATTCACATGCTGAAGCCCTAATTCCCAATCCCTCAGAATGTGGCTGTATTTGGACATAGGGCCTTTAAAGGGGTGATTAAGGTGAAACCTGATTGGTGTGTTTATAAAAAGAAGACACACAGAGGGACACAGGAATGTGCATGCAAAGAGGAAAGACTGTGTGAGGACTTCGTGAGAAAGCGGCCACCTGCAAGCCAAGGAGAAGAGGCCCCAGAAGAAACCAAACCTGCTGACACTTTGATCTTGGACTTCTGGCCTCCAGAACTGTGAGAAAATAAATTCCCATTGTTTAAACCACCCAGCCTTTGGTATTTTGTTATGGCAGCCCTAGCAAATTAATGCAACCACCAAGCCTGTTGCAAAGGATTTTTCTTCCAAGCAGATTCCTGTTTGATGGTAGGAGCCAGTATCCTCCCCATTGTTGTAGCTGGAGGGGGCCAAGGCAGAGAAGACTGCCGGCCCTGGGCCCTTGGTGCAATGGGGCAGTGACAGCAATGGGACTGAGAGGGAGCCACCTCCACAGAACCCCCAGCATGCTCCCCATAGCAGCTGAGTGCTTGTAGAGCTGTGCCAGGAACCCAGGAAGATGCAGGTGGAAACATTTGTTCTAGAATCTTCGGAGCAGTGATTTGGGCTATGCTCAGGAGTGTTCATTCTCTTTTCCGTGGATCTTCACAAAATATCCGAGAACTAAATCTGAAACGTCTCTAGTAAGGCCACGTGATGCGTGCGTCTAGCACCCACGAGTGAGGAGCCGGAAACATTCTCCCGCGCCAGCTCTGCGGGGTTCTGGCTACTTGTGCTTGGGTGTAAATGCTCGCATTGCGTTTTCTGTTCCTGCCACATTGCACGCTTCAGCCTGAATGCAGCGTTATCGCTGCTGTGGGAATTTTTGACAACTTATTTATGAGTATTAAGATCCTGGAGTCTTCCCCCACCAAAAAAAGGGGGTAGCTATGCCTGCACTTGGAGATGTTTCCAGGATGGCAGCCCTTGTGGGGTCCAGTCACCCAGGGCTGGCAATAGATGCTGTCTCCCTTGTGCACCCAGGCTGGTTTGAAGTGTGCTGACGGGGACTTGCGGAGACAGCCAGGCAGAGGGAGAAAAAAGGTGGTAGGGTTGCTCCAGGTCACACAGGCCACCGCAGAAGCAGGCCTGGCTACATGGAAGGGAGCAGGGTGGCGGCATCTCAGGTGTCAGGGCCGGAGCAGCAGAGGTCGAGGCCTTCCGAGGCCCCTCCCCAGGCATCTGCTGAGACCCTCCCTTGTGCCAGGCCCTGTGCCTTCCCGACGCCGGGGACTGGAGCTAGAGGCATCTGGTGACAGGAACAGGAGGAGGTTAAAGCAATCCGTGCCCTGAGTGAGCGCAGGGTGCAGAGTAACCCTCACATGCACAGTGACTGGTGTAGGATGATGTTTGACCAATGCTGAACTCATATGGGCTCTGAGCCCAGAGGGGCCAGGTCTTTGGAGTCTGGAATGACTAAGGCAGGCCTTTCCTGTGAGAAGTGGTGGCTTTGAGCTGTGGGGACCTAGAGAAGAGACAGCCAGAGGTTCTTAATTCTTTCCTTCATCTTCCTCTCCTTTGATTCTGATCCATTAAGTGGTTTTGGCATGGTTCTGGGGCCCTTCCCCTCCAGGACCCCTGCGGTGTGAGTGCTACTCCTTTGGCCCCATGGATCACCCCTCAACCCGTCACCTTGTGTTCCCCGAGGTGGGGGTGCCTCTGGAATTCCCTGTTCTGCTTTTAGGAGTGTCACAAGGATTGTAACAGCGTCCCACTGGTGCTGGATGGCCAACAATAAATTCCCAGGCTCTGAAGCACCAGGAACAAGGTCCCTGCAGTCAGATGAAAGGTCCCCTCCTTGCCTGGCAAGACCTATTATCTGGGACTCTAAAGAAAACGTAAGGCCGGGCGCGGTGGCTCACACCTGTAATCCCAGCACTTTGGGAAGCCAAGGCAGGCAGATCACGAGGTCAGGAGATCGAGACCATCCTGGCTAACACAGTGAAACCCTGTCTCTACTAAAAATACAAAAAATTAGCCAGGCGTGGTGGCGGGCACCTGTAATCCCAGCTACTCGGGAGGTTGAGGCAGGAGAATGGCATGAACCAGGGAGGCGGAGCTTGCAGTGAACTGAGATCACGCCACTGCACTCCAGCCTGGGCGACAGAGCGAGACTCTGTCTCAAAAAATAAAAATTAAAAAAAAATAAAACGTAAGGATGCCTGCTCCTGGGGAAAAGCGTGAGGGTCAGCATGTCAGTAACAGTGCTATAGGCGTCAGTGCACGTCTGCAGGTGGCCGGCGTTGCCCCAGAGAGGGCCCGTTTGAGTCACTTACTCAGCAGACACCAGGGACCTACTGGAAGCTCATTTATTCAGCTTGCCCACTTGCTCATTAATTTAACACATTTGTATTGAATGTCTGCTTTCTGCAAGGCACTGGTGCTCCCACTGGAGCTGGGCTGGCAGACTGTTTCTATAAAGTAAGTATTTTAGGCTTTGAGGGCCATTTTGTCTGTTGCAACTACTCAACTCTTGTAGAACAAAAGCAGCCATAGACAATACATAAACACATGGGTGTAGCCTTGTTCCAGAAAGACTCTATTGACAAAACCAGCTGCATTTGGCCACAGGCTATCGCGTGCTGGCCCCTGGACTATGTACAGAGGTAATCCTCTATCTACATAGAGCTTATGCTCTAGGCAAGGAAGACAAGAAATTAATCATATAATCACAAACATAAATTATAATTATGAACACGTGTTCTCATAGCTCTACAGCCAGGATGGTATGTGGCAACCTCACGTCAAGAACTGCTTCCCTCAAGAGTTGCTGCTTTTGTTGGCATCAGAATCAGCATGAACCAGGTGAAGAGAGAGAGGAACCAGCATGTGGAAACACCCTGCAGTACAAGTGCAGCATCCCAGGAATGGAAAGAAGGCCAGTGGTCATAGCGGAGAGGAGAACGGGGACAGGGGTGAGATGAGGCAGGAGAGGACATGCAGCTGGTGCATGCATGGTCTTGGAGCCATGCTGTGCCTCCAGTCTTTATCTGAGTCTAATGGTGAAGGCTAACGCAGAGGAGAAACAGGATCGGATTTGCACTTTGCTGCAACATGAAAGCAGATTGGGGAAGAGCAAGCAAGGATTCAGGAGAACCAAGTGAAAAGACTATTGCAAGAGAGGACAGTGGCAGTGGGGAGGTGAAGAGAAGTAGCTGGAGGTAAGAGGTATGTCGAGGGGTCATAATGGGCTGGGTATGGAGGGAGAAAGCCTCCACAGGATGGCTCCTAGGTATCAGGGTTGTGCCTGATTAGATGGTTACATCTAGATATAAGATGGTTGGTGTGCTCTATTCTGAGACAGGAAGCACTGGAGAAGCCCAGAGTTCTTTGCTTTGATTTGTTTGGGTGAGAGGAAGAGGCATGATCAGTCTGAGTTGCCTTTGAAACATCACATTAAAGGTGTCAGATAAGTAGGTGAGATGTACAGATCCGGAGCTCAGAGGAGAGGTGGGACTGGAGAGAATATGTTTTGGAGAGTCATCAGCATATGGAGAGTGATTGAAGCCTTGAGCATGGATTAGATCATCCAGGGGAAGAAGAGAATGGAGTAAAAAAAGAGAAGAGGGCCTGGCAAAACATCTTCTAGGAGCTCTGATGTCTAATAGCCAGGGAGGCAGGGGTGATTCGGCAAAATGGGGAAATGACGACCAATGAAGCAGGATTAAAAACAGGAGATTGTTGTGTTGTGGAAGCAAAGGGAAGCAAGGGCTTCAAGCAAGACTTGCATTCAGCCTGTATGCGCAGGCACAGTGAGACTGGCCACGGATGCCCAGTGACCATTCTGACTTGTCGGTGCATGCACTGTGATAGTGGTTAGTGCCCATGCCACATCAGTTGTTAAACTTGATTTTCATCCCTGCTTTCAAGGAGTGGCCACCAGTGTTGAAAGCTTCTGGGATAGCACACAAGATAAAGAGTGGAAACCGTCCATTGGATTTAGCACCATGGAGGACACTGGTGACCTTAACAAGAGAACTTTGGATAGAGTGATGGGCTAAGGGGTGAATGGGAGGTGAGGAAGTTGACAGGAGGCCTAGGCAGCCTTTCCAGAAGTTTCACCATGAAGCAGAGGAGCTAAGCAGGACAGGTAGAGGAGAAGCTGGAAGGGTATCCTGGAGTCAAAATTTTACTTTCAAATGTTGAAATGATGAGAAGTATTTGTTCAACATACCTACTGTGTATTTATTCAGTTAGCAAACTGTGTATCTCATTCATTTATTCATTACTTGATCCAACATGCCTATCTCAACCTTGAGTAGGATATTTATTATGAGCACTAAATTTATTTTATTTCATTTCCTTCTTTCCTTGTCAACAGCCATTTATTGAGCATGTATTATTTGCCAAGTACTGGACCAGGTCCCAGTGATAGAGACATGAATAAGTTATAGCCTGTGTGTTCACGGGGCTTATAGTTTTTTCTAGTGCAGTGGTTCTCAACCAGGGATGATTTTGTTCCTTTCCCCATCCTAGGAGACATTGGGCACTTATCTGGGAACTTATCTGGAGATATTTTTGTCATGATGTAGGGGGGAAGGGATGCTACTGGCCTCTAGTGGGTGGAGGCTAGAAATGCTGCTAAGCATCTTAAAATGCACAGAACAAGCCCATTACAAAGAATTATCTTGCCCCAAACAAGAATGGGGTGAAAATGGCTAGATTAATATGTGCATGTGGTAACTACAGGAGCTCAGAGGATGAGCACTTGGACACACAGTGGAGCTGGCCAAGCAGAAGATGAGGGACAGACAAGACAGGTGGAGGCCACAGGTGTGGAAAGGCATGGAGCCGTGAAGGGAGCATCGTGCAAACTCAGGAGCTTCCCGTGAAGGGAGCATCGTGCAAACTCAGGAGCTTCCCGTGAAGGGAGCATCGTGCAAACTCAGGAGCTTCCCGTGAAGGGAGCATCGTGCAAGCTCAGGAGCTTCCCGTGAAGGGAGCATCGTGCAAACTCAGGAGCTTCCCGTGAAGGGAGCATCGTGCAAGCTCAGGAGCTTCCAGCAGTTCCGGGCAGAGGCACCGTGACTGATAAGGGCGGAAGTTTGCAGAGTAGCTGTGGCCATAGATATCATACCAAGTATCTTGGATTTTGTGTCTGCGCTGAGAGGCCACTAAAGGATTTCAAATGAGAGGAAACCAGATTGGTGTCTTAGAAAGATCGTCCCGGTGGCTGACAAAATCAAACAATAATCACCAACATCTGTTAAGAATCAAATCTGTGTCCAGCACTTTTTTGAGTACTTTATTGTATTATCCTGTTTAGTCTCCCAGCAACCCAATGGAGGAAACACTCTTGTTATCCCCATCTCACAGCTGAAGAGACTGAGGCAGAGGGGTCGGGTAGCTTGCTTGACATTACGTGAGTAGTAACTGCAGGGCCAGGATGTGGCTCCCAGACTGGGCGTATAAACAAACATGAGATGCCCTGTGGTTCTTTCTGTCTCCTACTTTGGGTCTGAGCTCTGGGACTAGATTTGAGCAGCCACAGGATCTCAATTCATAATTCATGTTTCAACACTTTTGCAGCTGCTCTAAAAATTCTATGCCTCTAGCCTTAAAGAGTACGGCTTTGAGGTAACCACTTCTTGTTGATTAGGAGTTCTCGCGTAGCTGTTAATTTTTCTAGGTGCTCTGGCTGAAATGCCCTATCGACAGAGAAACACTTGAGTGAATTGTGCTGATGGGAAGTCAAATTCACTTTTTGCTGCCTAAGCCTTTTAAATGGACCCGGTATCCATACGTGACCCCTCTACCTTGTATGACTCGCTCTGCCTTCTCTATCAGCTACTTCACCCCACTATCCAGTGTACCCCTTCTTTATCTTTGCTGGGGGGGCAGGGGGGCGGGAAATAGATGACTTTGCCTAATAAAATTTAAAGTAGATCTCAGTGCACAAAGCTGCATCGTTAGCCAGCGATGATCCTGCTTTTCAGGGTTTTTAATTGCGGTGGTTCCCTGCTCTGCATTAGGAGCCCTAATGAGAAGTGACACCCGCTTCTGACCCAGGACTGATGGCCCCTAGGGAGAGGGAAACTGAGGTTCCCAGGTATTAGTTTGGTGCAAAAGTAATTGCGGTTTTTGCCATTTTTTTTTTTTTAATGACAAAAATGCAATTACTTTTCCACCAACCTAATAGAAGGGGCTGCACCTGTGTTCCTTCCACCCATGAGAAGAGATTTTTGTCTGAATCTCAGCTGCTGAGGGAGGCAGGTGACTGACAGGTGGGACTCAAGGATGACTCCCACCTGGCAAATTTCAGCAGCACTCCTCCCATTTGGAAAGAAGAGCCCAGACACATTTTTATATGTATGTAGGCTTTTAAATACATGTGTCTCTCTCTTTTTGAAAACATTGGCAGAGTTCTGGCAAAGCATAGGAAATGCTACCTGGTCTGTGATCTGGAGGGAGCTCCCTCCTGAGAGGAAACAGGCTCTGTCTATGCTACACTGGATGGCTGGCCTAGCCTGCTGCCGGTGGGTTCTTTGAGGCTGGTCTATCACCTGTGAGTTCACAGCCCCAAATGATCCCCAACTGACAGAAAGAGCCCCAGGCTGTGGCCTCTGTCACTAGGGAGTCTGGAGGGGCAGCCAGCTCTGATTTCTAGGCTTCTTCCTATAATGATTCCGTGGTAGGACAGAGAATTCTCTGGGCTTCCGTTTTCTCATCTGCAAAATATAGGGGTTGTTGGACTGAAGACCTTCTAGTGTCCCTAGCGGCTTTGACTGGTGGATTAAATCAGACCTTTGACAGGATAAGGACTGCCCATCAGTGCTAAGAAATTAATCTTATGCCCAAACATAAGGCAGTTCCCCACTTTCCCAAAGAAAAGCTTTCCAAAAACTTTTTAGCCAACCTGAATATATTAAATTTTTTTGAATATAGATGCAACAAAAAAGTATACTTACAATGTTTAATTATTTTAGTTTCAAATGTTAAAAATTACAAACTATATAAAATGCTAACCGGGCATGGTGGCTCACACCTGTAATCCCAGCATTTTGGGAGGCCAAGGTGGGAGGATTGCTTGAGCCCGGGAGTTCGAGGGCAGCCTGGGCAACATAGCAAGACCCCATCTTTAATTAAAAAATAAATAAAAATAAAATGTTAATTTAGAAATATTTCCACTTATATTTCATGAGTAATTATTCAAACTTGTTCTGGGCAGCTTTGCCTCCCATGTTTTTTTTTCAGTGTAGTTTTTTTTTTTTTAATCACTAGAGTGACTTTTTGAGTCCTCTGACAATTTTTTGGAACGTCATGGCACTTTTTGAATGTGAGGATTAGACCTTCCCTGGGAATTCTATCCCAAGTTGAAGCAGGTGTTTTTGGCTTTTTTTTTTTTCATTTGGTTTATAGGTAAATATTCACAGTCTCTTTGCAATAATTTGTTATGATTCTTGTTAAAGTGACCTTCAAAAGTCTGTTTATAATAACATACAGACACTAAAATTTATACTACATCATATTTGTGTTAATTAGAGTCTTCTTACTGATACAGAATCTATCAGTGGATATATTCGATATCTTGAATAGAAGGCAACACCTTGTTGAGGGCTAATGAGGGAGGAGGGAAAAGATGGCATAGACAAAAAATTTTACTGTACAAAATTCTCATTTAAAACCCCTCAGCTTGTTATATTGCACGTATAAGCATTTCTGTAGTGGCTGTTTGGTAGCCTATGTCTGTGAATGTAGGCAGAGGTCTCTTGATGGAGCCCAAAGACAGAACACCGGGTCTTCTGCTGAGTCTTTTGGGCCCCGCAAGAACTCTGACCAACATCCTTCACCACTTTCCAAACACAAGGAGCCGTAAGCCCCTTCTGACCACCTTTCTGCCAATCTGCTGTTGGGCTTTTGTGTAGTTTAATGAGCATAGAGTCATTTGGAAATATGCACTGCGCTTCACAAAAAGAAAGAGTAATATAATCAGAAATGATTATATTTCAGCACTTCAGCACTATTGCTACTATTAATGTCCATTATCACTGTATTACCTGAAATGTGTTTAACAATCACAGTCACTAATCAAGGTGCCTGTCCTGGAAAATGTGTATTCTCTCCATCTGGATCACACTATGTATTGTGCTGTTACTGTTTTAAATTTTTTTCAGATAATTGGAACCTGCTACTTCATACTTTGAAAAGTAATGTAGCGGGTGAAGCCCTGAGAGGTTCAAAGCCTATGCTTCCATCAGGGAAATAATGCAATTTCCATGCAAAATGATTATAATATTATTCAGTGATTACATGGGGGTGGAGGGTAGTCTGTTTTTGTTAGACTTTTGAAAGTGGCAAATTGAATTCCATCCAAGTAATCAGAGGTTATGAGTTTCCAGCACAGTGTGTTTGCACTTGTTGGAGGCTCATTTCCCCAGGGTCTCTGCAAGCCCGGAGCCCCCGGAGCCCCCAGAGCCCTTGCTGACCACTTGGGACAGACGTGAAGGGCCAGGGAATTAATTCCCCGCCAGCAGCTTTCAGCCCATGATAAATGGGAGGTGGAGGAAACACTCCAGCTGCCTTCGGGGGGGATAACTCTGAGACCCCCTCCTCCCTGTCTCCCACAGGTCCCCAGTGGGTGAGATTGGCCCCACTTGCCTGCTCATTTGGAGCAATCTGTGTTGACTTCCTTCACTCCCTCCCGTCCCCACTCCCCTGCCTAAGCTTTCTGAACCACTGTTCAAACAGAACACTAGCCTCAGATCCTCATCTAGGTTCTGCTTGACAAGAGAGGCACACGTGGCCTCCCCACTTTCCCCTTCCCCTTTTTGAGGGCATCCAGGGGCCTCTCTGGATCCTTCTTTCCTATAACCCATTTTGTGGAGGGTTCTTGGCAGCACCCAGAAGTATTTGTGTTTTAAGGCATCGTCATTCTGAAAAATGAAAAGTCTGAACATTTCTTATGGTCAGGAAGTTGATGGGTGTAATTTATTTTTCCCACCTCTTCTCTTAATTATTATTACTCCATTCAAGTGAGACAAGATGATTTAATCCAGGCTGTATTTAAAATGCCCATAATCAATGCTCTCATTCTGAGCATGTATCTATGTGCTCTTAGATAATTTATGTATAATTTTAATAGATTCGTCAACAGCAGCCCTTCCTCATCTAAACAGGCTGCTTGCAGACAGATCGCTTAATTTGCTTCTCAATGTTATTTTTCATACATGGTTGCTGCACGGCCGACAGATAGTAGATGATCCCATTACGAACACATTTGACACGGCCTCTACTGTGGGGATGAGCAAACTCGAGGTCTCGTACTGTGGCAGGCAGGGTATGGCCCCCTCTCACTCAGAAGGGTCAGATCCCAGAGAACAAAGCCACCAGGAAGGTGCTGAAGCTAGTCCTGGCAGCGTTTGGGTGCTGATGGGAGCCCTGGCATCCTGCTAGAGCAAACAGGAGGCTGTCAGTGCTGCACCCATTTTCCAGCCAGGGCATCACCTGCTCATGCCTCTCACCTGCTCACGCCTCTCACCTCCTGCCTCTCTGTGTGTGAGGGCACCTAGCAGGCAGGCTGGAGGTGTGGGGGCATTCATACTGCAGAAACAGCCCTCTATCAGCAAGAGGCAGGAGGCAATGCATAAATACCCCGGCTTCCTCGCCTCATCGTGAGACAATTTCAGGTGCACTCTGCACGACTCTCAGAGGGTTCCCAGCAGGACAGAGCCCCAGCTGGCCCCAGCAGTGACCCCATGGCAAAAGCGTCCTCAGTTGGCTTTTCTCCTGTCCTGTCTCATACCCTAGTGCTTCCTTGGATCAACTCCCAAAGAAACCACTTCTGTCAAAATCTTGTTTCAGGATCCCCTTTAGGAGGAGCCCAAATGAAGACATTTGCCCCTCTGAATTTCTTCACGTTGATCTTTCAGGCACCACCTTCCTCCAGGACCCCGCTTAAGCCCTGCTGTGAAGTCGTCCTACTCCCTCTGGCCCAGAAACTCTCCTCCTCTGGCCATCTTCAGTCCCACTAGCTTAGTTAACTTAGCCTGCACCATCAGCAGCCTTATCTGTCCCCTATTTCTGCTTGTGGGTGTGTGATGGGGCAGGTGCCAATCCCGCCACCTTCCCGCTGACTTTCATGTGTGTCTCAGAGGTGACGGTGTTCATCTCAGTCCTCAGTCTGGAGTGCAGACAAGAGACGTCGAGCAGGGTAAAGGATGGGTGGCCAGATAATGCCAAGAGTACACTCTTTAAGGGAAAAAAAAATCACAGAGAAACGCCTCCTTCCAAAGACCAATGTGAGTGCTGATGGATTACTTGCACCATTTCCGTCCGCTGGGGTAATTGCAAGATGAGTGCATTGTGTTCCAAAGGAGAAATATTCTGTAGATGTGGTAATCTTTGCCATGCAGGCTCGTGACAGAGAGAACCACATCAACTTCTAAATTTTCTCAATGGAGTGCAATGTGTGTAATGTGTAATAAAATATAAATAAGCCTTTAAGAAGCATCTATGTGTTTCTTTTTATCAACCTTTAGATGCGTTAAAGCGAAGTACAATTTTATATGAATTCTAGATGATATGTAGTATTTTTATTTGCTACTTCATTGCTAAATGTTTCATATAAAACTGAAGAGAAAAAAATACACAGTCCCACATATAAAAGAAGAAGCAGATGGCTAAATATGACCGTGGGAGAGAAGCAGTGAATGGTGTAGGTTCAGAAAGGAGGCTCTCCCCTACCGTGTGTGGGCCCGAGATGGAGAGGAGGGAAATTTGTATGTGCAGTTACCTGTGTTCATTAGCTGTTTGTTTCCACTGTGTTAAAGTAGGCCATTAGTATTCATAAGAATCTACAGGTATCTTTGTTATGGTTTTTTTATCTTTTAAATGTACATATAAAGAGTATGTATTATTTATAGATGTATTTGGATTTAGAAACATCAAGCTTGAAAAATAATGCAGCAAGGAATATTTGATTTAATGCTTACTAGGGAGGGGAGAGGACCAGGACTTTCTGCAGGAAGGAAGACTGGGTTGGGATGTTATCTGACCTTTCTGGGGGACTTTCCTGGAAGCTCTTTAGTGACAGTTACAGTGTAGAAAGATCTTGGGTGAAAGAAAGGACAGTGGCCAGAGAGTTAGGAAGCCCCGGGTCTCATCCCAACTCTCCTGCTGACTGGCTGTGGGACCTGAGCTTGTCACTCACCCTCTCCTGTCACTCAGCCTCTCCTGTCATTCACCCCCTCCTGTCACTCACCTTCTCCTGCCTTTGGTGACCCTGCCTGGATCCAGACATCAATTCGTGCCAGGCTGTGGCTCCATGATGGGTACCTCCGTGCTGACTGCTGCTCAGCTGCTGGCCTCCTTTCCAGAAGAGCAGTCAGGGTGGTAAGCCATCCCGCGTGTTTCTTCAGATGGATCACAGAGCCACAGTGCGATCAAGCCACTTACCTACACACATTGGTAGAGACCAGGAAAACAGAATTAGCTTCTCATTCTATTTCCAGCTCCTAGGCTCTTTCCATATTGGCCAAGAAAAGCAGAGTACTTACAGAAATTCCTAGTTAATGGCATCTTTCTGCCTGTGTATGGAGAAACATGCCTGTCTGTAGTTTATTTTTAAATGAATAACTCATCATATTTGGGTAAAAAGTCCTGTAATCTCTAAAGCCTTTCTTTCACAATTTTTTTTATTCTGAGAGTGTAGAAAACAGCCTCAGATCTATTCAAATAAAATAGCTTTTTTACTGAGTGAGGAAGCAATGCATTTTAAGACCCACTTGTGTTGGGGAAGGGGTTTTTGGCCACTGGCTCTGTAGGCTTGGGCTCAAAGGAAAGGCAGAATCATGAAATAGAAGCTGTAGCAGCATCTGCCCGAAGGTCTTGATTTTGGTTTACCAATCGCTGGCTGCAGGCGGGATGGGAACAGGGGCTCTGTGAAGGCTGAAATTCAGGGAGAGAGCTGGAGGGAGCGGAGAGTGGTCGCTGACCAGTGTGAAACCAACCCAGCACTCTTGCACACGTGATCAGCCCGTTGGTTCCACCGCCTTCTGAGGAAGACCCCTCTTCATTCATTTGTGCCCTCCGTGCCCACTTCTTTGGCGGGGTGGTGGAAGAGAAGGCTCCATCTAGTGTGACTCCCAGCCATCCCCATGGCACTATAGGTATTTTGTTCTTCAATGAGCAGGCATGATCATTATAATGGTTATTGCTGCCATGTGTATGTGCCATAGACTATGTTAAGTTTCTTTCTTATGGTAGAACATTCAACTCTCAGAACAACCATCGATGTTTAGTGGTATCATCCCCATTGTATAGAAGAGGAGCTTGAGGCAGGGACTGGGAGTGGAGGGTGGGCAGACGTGGTCATTGCCATCAAACGGCAGAGCTGAGATTTAGATGCAGCTCCCTCAGATTATAAATCTTCCATGCTCCTGACCACTACACAGGCTGAGCCAGCCTCTGAACTGGTGTCTCCGAGACTAGGATGGAAACCCAAAATGAAGCTCAGGTGGTGCTGTGCAGACCAGGAGTGAGGCTACAGGATTCAGACTTGGGAGAAGATCTCTGCATCTCTGTAAGGGGACCAGCAAATCACGAAGTCTAATAGCCCACCTTGTTTTACCCTGTGAAGCCATTCTGTTCCCATCATTCCTCTTTAAAGCTATCAAGAGGCCATGCCCTAAAGGGGTGGGGCTTCAAGAGACACCGCCCCCCTCCCCGCCGAGCATCAGCAGCTATATCTGTGGACCAGACTGGCTCATTCCAGACCCTAGGAGTGAGCTACTATGCTGTCTGTTTCTCCTGTCCCCACGGCCGTCTCCAGCCCCCCGACACCTATAGCTTTGGTCTGGCTAGAGGGCTTGTGGTGTTTTCTGATGTGGCTGGCTATTTGAGTGCTTGGGGTGCAGGTCACAGGCTCCCCTGAAGAACCGGGCCAACAGTTCCAGGGCTGATCACCAGGCAAAAGACAGACTTCAGACAAGAAACTGGAACAGGGAAAGCCGAAGGCAACACAGAAGCCCTGCTCTCTCTGGGCTCTGCTTACGGCGTCCAGACTTGAGGTGGCCTCTTTCCTGGGTGCGAGTTTCTGTCTGGTGGATGCTGAGGACTTGGGATGGGCCTGACCAGGCCCCTGGGGCCCTCCTGGAAAACCGGCCGGGAGCCAAGTTGTCTGGCTGTGTGTTGCTTTCTTCTCATGGCTCTCGCCTATTTCTTTGCCTGTTGTTTTGCTTTACTCCACAAGACTCCAGTCAAGTCTTGTTTAAATGTTATAGCCTGGTCCCAGGAGTGTCAGGGAGAGTCGAGGAAAGCTGTGTCCACACTGGAGTCAGACTTTTAAAGGGGCAATGCCCCTGAGGGCACCAAGGCAGCGGGAGTGGAGCCTCTATAGATGGGAGTAGGCGCTGTGAGTCTCTGACTCCCCACCCACATGGTGACCTGGAGGGTGTTGGAGAAAAGGCTACTGTGTGTTGCTCAACACCCGCACCCACCGCAGTCCAACTTGAGAGAGCTGGCAGCTGGCCTGCCCGTCAGGGAATCAGGGATGTGGGCACCTGCCCTGCCTCATGGGGTTCGTGTGGCATCTAATGAGGGAGAGAAGATGCAGGAGCACGCCACGCAGCCCGCAGCACCAGGCAGAGGCGAAGCATCCTTATGAAAAGCTGAGATTTATGGGTCTGAAGGAGAAGCAACATCTGGGAAGGAATTATTGCAATTTACAGGGAGGATGGAGGCCTGTTTATAAGAGCAAAATCTGGAAGCAGTGTCTGATTTTTTTTTA
The DNA here is from genome assembly GCF_000001405.40 of Homo sapiens. Classification (NCBI taxonomy): domain Eukaryota; kingdom Metazoa; phylum Chordata; class Mammalia; order Primates; family Hominidae; genus Homo; species Homo sapiens. The sequence continues at coordinate 23,469,616 of NC_000002.12, forward strand.
AACTGGTTTATATTCCAATCATCAACCTATGGTGTGAACATCTTCCAGATGTTCAAAGAAAAATTGTGGAAAATGAGTTGAACCGTGGAGGCAATTTCCTTTTTTGAACAGAGCTTTACTCTTTACTGAGCATCTACTACGTGCCAGGTGGGTCCTCCCTGCCGACATCTTCAGTGCTGCTGTGGGTGAGTCAAGCTTTGGTAGGTCCAGTTGGCACCTTTGGCTTCTTTTTCTTCATCTTGTGGAAATGCAAGGGTCATTCCGGTTCTGCTTCCAGTGATGGGCGAATCTGTATTAACTGGTAGAGTGAGGGTGGGGGGATATGTGCCAGCATTGAGTGGCAGGGCTGAGTTGGGTGAGTTCGAGTTCATTTCATTTTGGGGGGGTCTGCTGTGTATCAAAAAAAAAAAAAAGATTTTAAGAGGATTTTGGTTTGCAACTTTTTTTCCTGAAACCTTTCATGCTGGGTTTATGGTGGAGTCATGTCATGGCATAACTTAGGATCCAGTCCAACTATGAACACCTCATTTTCTTTATCTTCCCATTCTCCTCGCCCCAAACCATCCAAGGCAACTAGGAGATGGGCCCTTTGGTGCTGTGCTGGCCCAACAGGAAGCCTCCTTGGGTGGCACGTGTGTCCTTATTGTGATAGTCTCCAGTATTTTGCCTGGAAAGTTTCGTACTCCAGAGAGTGCAGAAAGAAGTGTCCAGGGAGGAGTTTTCACGAGGAGAAGGGTGACGGCAGCTGGAGGCCCAGGAACAAAAGCCTGGAATGGGAGGCACAAAATCCAGGCTTGCTGTTCAGGCTCCCTCTTTGACTTGCTGTGTGACTTTGGACAACCTTTTTTTGCCATGAGCCTCTGTTCCCTCATCTGTAAAATGAGGATTACAAAAGTAATCAACTCATAAATTTGTTAGAACAGGTAAATGAGAAAATAAGAATGGGCTAGGCTTTGTAAACTTCAAGCCTTATGAAAACATTGTTACCTCTCAAATCGGTCAGCCTGGCTTCTGCAGACACTGTCTTTCTTTGAATACAGCCTACAAAAAGCATGCCAGGAGCTGCATCCCTACCAGCTGAAAATAACGGATCTCATCAGTGGCCAATTGTGGCTCCTTAATGGAATAGGCAATCTCTGCGTTGTGCTGGGTGGACTCTCATGACTTACTCCATCTTTGCATCTTCACTCTCCCCTTTAAAAAGCAGTGCCTTCCGGACCCCGGCTCATGAACTGTCGTGAACCTGATGGATAAACCTTCTGAGAATGTTTATTTTTGTGTTGGCAAGAAGCCTGCAGGCTTTGGTGAACCCACAGTTGATATTATTAATGGATGGATGGCCTGTTTTTCTCTCGTCTTAAAAAGAATATGAATGAGCGTTCCCCTTGCAGGACACACTGGGAGCAGGCGTTCCTGCCCAGGGTCAGAGGTGCCGCAGAGTCCCATATCTGGGCTGACAGGAGGGTGGGCTCGGGAGCCGGTTTCCTCCCTACAGTTTACAGCCTCCAGTTCCTTTGCTTTTCTTTTCCAAGGAAGAAAGACTCTTTGTTGCCCAGTTTGCTGAGGGGTGCTGAACTTCTGGGTTCTGGACCCATAATTGGAGAGTGTGGTTACGACCCTGGCGGGGCTGCTTTCTGATGCTGTGTCAAACTGGAGGCTCCCTAATTGGTTTCTCCTCTCTTAAGGCAGTTTCTCTCCCCTAAAAACATGGTGTATTTTATAAAGAAGTAAAAAATCCTGGGGCCCTTGTTCATAATTCTCTTGACCATCAGTTTGGTTCATGTTAGGAACTATCTTTATTTATAGACTTAGAGGTAAAATGGATCTCAAAATTTTTCTCTAGTTTCATTTTGAAGCTCTCCAAGCATTTAACCCAAATAGCCCATTCAAGGGTCTTGCTTTCATATTGGTCTTAATGCCTTGTCAAAGTCAATTAACATCTCTTGAGTACCTTGGGAAGCTGAAAGTCCTAAGACCCCTTTCACAAGCAGTGACTGACTACCTACTGTATTTTTTAAAATAAATTAGAGTCCTCTGTCCTTTAGCTTTTACGATTTGTTTTCCTTAAGACTGTAGGCTGCCGTTTGATGAAATTAGTGGAAGGGAAAAGGTCAATTTGGCCAAAAGTGTCACAAATTAAGCCCTGAAGCAATCTCTTTATTCACCTGGAGATAGAAAACCATACCTGCCTCCCTGTGATTTCCTGGGTTCATTCCTGGGATTCATTTTCCCAGGCCATGATCTTTGGAAACGTTAAGATTTTACAGTGTTAACTTGGGAACAAAATTATTACTAAAAATTGGTTTCTAGTAATTTATTTTTAAATCACTTTTAAATACCATGTATCTCATTAGAGTGGGACATGCTTAGGTGCATGGATGTAGCTTATAGGCCTCCCAGAAAGGACAATAATGAGTCAAGGATCGTTTATACACCGCTACATGATGGGTGCTATGGACCAGAGATTCCAAAAGATACTGTCTATTAAGCCCAGGGTCTAACTGCAAGGCGTGGGGGTTGGGTGGGTGGGAAAAGAACAAGAAAGGAAAGATGTGAAAAAATAAATAAAATCACTGAGGCATAGACTGATGCTAAATGTTAACCGAGAACAGTTAGAAACCCTTTCAAGGAAAGAGTTTCTGGTTGGGGTCGGCAAAGATGTCGGGAAGCAGGTGTGCTTGCCCTGGACTTTGAGCAGGTGATGGCACTTCTGAGATGGTGATGCTGAGATGGAGGAAGAGGAGGAGGATGTCACGGGTTCTCTAGTTTTAGCACTTTGGGAGGCCGAGGCGGGCGGATCACAAGGTCAGAAGATCAAGACCATCCTGACCAACATGATGAAACCCTGTCTCTACTAAAAATACAAAAATTAGCCGGGCATGGCGGCGTGTGCCTGTAGTCCCAGCTACTTGGGAGACTGAGGCAGGAGAATTGCTTGAACCCGGGAGGCGGAGGCTGCAGTGAGCCAAGATTGCGCCACTGCACTCCAGCCTGGGCAACAGAGTGAGACTCCATCTCAAAACAAAACAAAACAAAACAAAACCTTGATAAATATGACCATTATGTGTCCTGGGGTTACTCTTCTCGAGTAGTATCTTTGTGGTATTCTCTGTATTTCCTCAATTTGAATGTTGGCCTAAAAAGAATGGGAAACAGAGGTTCCTAGGAGTTAAAGAACTTACCTGCTGTCACAAAACTAAGTGTCAGTGTTAGAATTCTAATTCAGATGTATCTGATTCCAGGGTCTTGCTTTTAACCCTCTCTGTGAATGTATCTATCGGGGTCTTGAAATAGACATATTCAAATGTGTAATTTGGAGAGAGTTAAGTAAAATGACTATCCACAAAGATGAATAGGCACAGTATAGAGAAACCATCATAGCACAGTGCCCCCAGGCTGATGATGGGATGAGGGGAATTACTGCCTTTGAGCATAATGGTCAGGGGAAGGAGCTATTACAGGAATCCAGAGAGAGAGCCTTGTGGAGCTCCTTGTTCCCCAGCTAGAGCCATGACCTGCAGGTGAGGGACACCCTGCTCATGAAGACGCAGAGAGGGAGGGGAGCAGGGGAACCAACAGTCAACCCTGACCCTGTCCCCAGTCTCCTGCTAGTGCTTGCATGGGCTGAACCTAACCAGAAGTCAGAGGGTCCAAAACATGAGGGATGCTCTCCATACAGGTCAGGTGAGCCTCCCAGGGCTCGCCTGGGAGAGGTGGGGAAGAACAGGGTGGGGAAGGTGGAAGGCAGGTCAAAAGGGCCCAACACAAAACATCCAGTACAGTCTATAATAGCCAATGGGTCATTCACTTCCAGACCTTTTCATCAGCACATGAGGAAAAGTCCCAGAGAACTCAGCTGTGCATGTGGTTTATTTTTGTTCAGAACTGTTTCAGTTGTCTCCCCTAGAGGTAGGGACCACAGAGATGGAAGGGCAAGGCCACTGTCGTCAGGACAGGCGTAGACAGCCTGTGCTTCCTTCCCACCACTGTCCCTCTAGGCTACAGTCTAGCCTATTCCATATTCATTCGGCACAGCCTGGAAAGGAAGTGGATTAACCCGACATGAACTCTGAGGGTTTTGGCTCAAGAAATTGGGAGCCACTTCTAAAGATGGTGGCTGGGATCTTTGGGCTCTCAAGTTAGTAGACTTCACAGTAGCCTACAGGGCCCTACGCAATCAGGATGCTCACCACTCTGGCCTCACCTCTTACTAGAATCTCCCTCCACCAGCCACAGTGGCTTCCTTGGTGGTCCTGGAACATACCAGCCATGTTCTCACTGGCTGTTCCCTCTGCCTAGAACACTTAGGGCCAGATGCCCACACGACCTACTCCTCATCTTGAAGTGTGTGCTCAAATGTCCTCCACTCACAAGACTGGCCCTGCCCACCCTACTTAAACTGCACCACAGGCCCCCCGACAACATGCACCCTACCCTGCTCCATTTCTTCTCTAATAAATTGCATATACTACCTTCCAAAATATGATACAATTTTCACTACTTTTTAAGTGTATTGTATATTCTGTGTTTCCACCCTCTAGAATATGAGCTCCCTGAGGGCAGGAGTACCTTTCTCTTTTGTTCACTCATGTATTCCCAGTGCCTTGAACATACTGCCTGACACATAGAGGGAATCAATATTTATTAAATGAATGAATGAATGAATGAGATTCTCAAGCACCTAAAAATGGTTTGACCCCTATCTCCTAGACCTCTCTGTTCACCAGCACTTATCTGCCAAGGATCTTTCCCAGAATACATCGATCACCAGTATTGCCAATACCTTGTGGTCAAAGTGATCAGTTTCTCCTTGTGCTTCACCTTGGAGAGGAAATGTACTCGCCACTTTGGTTCTGTGTCAAAATTAAATGGCGACCTTGGCTGATTTTGCTTCCCCGCAGAGGTTATTTCTTAGTCGTAAAGAGAACATTCTATCCTTGAGAAAAATAATATTTTTGCCACCTTCAGCTTGAAAATGGCTATTTGATATGGATCACGTGCATCTCTATCAGCGGCCGCTGGAAAAGCTTAGGTTGAGAGGATCTGAGAAAGACTCGTTGCGTTGTCAGAGGGAAGCTGACCATAAGGCAGAATGAGTTTACAATAACTTATTTACCTGTCCAAATCCTTCATATCACATTAAAGCTTTCCCCTGCTACCCGGGACTCTGGAGTGCTAAGAGGAAAAAGGAAAATCAATTGATAATGATATATTTGGTTTAAAAAAATATATTGATTCCCAGGTAATGACAGTCGTGCGTTTTGCAGTGGGGGATGCCATTTCCCGTTGTGAAGATGGCTTTCTCATAGATTACATTTAAAAGAAGGAACCAGGAGTAGCTCTGCCTCCCCGTAATAGATAGCCTCTTTCTCCTAGGTATTAAATCTATAATTTAAAAAAAAAAAAAAATTCTCCCCAGGGAACCTATTCTTTGCCTCCTCAAGGTCTTCTTGCCCATTGTGTGAAAAAAGTAATGATTTGTTTTTGTAATTCTAGAGTTTGTGTCCTTTTCAGTATTAGATTAAAGACTTAAATGTTTTCTTTTTCCCCATTGCTGGAGTTTCTTAGTTTGGATTAGATGGAAGACAATACCATTGTTCTCTCTGTTATTCAGTGTCAATGGCTCAATGGTGGGGATTAGGGCTGTGTGTATTCGGAGGATGGGCGGGGGATGCCTCATATCTGCCACTCGGAGTACTCTGCTACCCACTTCGCCCCACTTTGCATGTGCTGGCAGAGTTTGTGCACAGCCTGTGTGAGATAATCCACAGTATGCAACTCAGCATCAGGGATATCTGAGGCAGAGACTAGCATCCAGTTAGTGTGGGGACCACCCAGGATGCTGGAATTCAAAAGACATCTTTTTGCAAAAAAAAAAAAAGAAAAGAAAAAAAATTAGACCTTTTCCCCACCCCTACCCCACTGTTTTTCCCTCTCTTTCTAGACTATCTGGCTTCCTGGTGATGCTCACGCTTTGCTAAGTGTTGGCGGCCATCGTGGTTTTCGCATCCTGGGGACGAATCCTGAGCTTGCCAGAGACGGGCGGCGCAAGGTAGGTCTCTGCTTAGCTCACCTGGAAATAAGAAAGGCATCAGACCTGAGCATAGCCAGCTCTCTCCTCTCATGCTAAATGTGTGGGGGAAGGGAAGAAAGTACAGTAGGTCCCCTCGCCCTCTTCCTCAGTGCGATTTTACCACAGGCGTGTGTGATCAACTGGTACTGGGGCTTAGCTAAGCCATTTTAGCCTCAATCCTCCTAGAATCAACCAAAGAGAATATCTATGACTCTTTTTGTTGTTGTCCAGCCCAGGCTGGAGCGCAGTGGCGCAATCTTGGCTCACTGCAACCTCTGCCTCTGGGTTCAAGCGATCCTTCCACCTCAGCCTCCCAAGTAGCTGGGACTACAGGCATGTGCTATCACGACTGGCTATCACGTGTGCTATCACGACATGGTTTCACCATGTTGGCCAGGCTGGTCTCCAACTCCTGACCTCAAGTGATCTACCCGCTTCAGCCTCCCAAAGCGCTGCGATTGTAGGCGTGAGCCACCGTGCCCCATCAGAGAATCTCTGTGACAGTTCCTTGCTTACCTGGGTCTTGGCTTTCCCCAGGAGGTTAGATCTAGGGATGGCCAGCAACTAGATGACCTTTAACCTCCTTAAAAACTGTAATTAAGTTTTATAATTAAGTTTTGGTATTAAAATGTATTATTAAATATCATGAAAATATTATTTATTCATTATAAAGGGATTTTAAAGGATAGTAGCTAAAAGTATATAAATGACTTATAATCCTGTTCCCCAGAGATAACCATTTTAGTGTTTCTTTCCAAGCTTTTTCTTATGCACATACGTAAACAGTGCACACAGGATCTGACTGTGGGTACTGTTCGGGGGGCATGTTATTTAGATTCCACAATGTATCAAGCCATTTCGTATGTCGGTAAATAGAAATCTATATCACCATTTTTACAGACTGTCTACTCTGTGGATATAATAGCATACATGATTCACTTAATGCCCTAACGATGGACATTTAGCATATTTTAAATATTTCACTATTACAAATAACAGCACAACAAACATTGTTGCATATGTATCTGCATAGTCATTTGATTACTTCTTTGGCTTAAATTTTTAGAGTCCTAGCTTAAACTTTTGACTCCAGGTTCTCCAAGCAGGATCAGGCAGCCAGAAATGCCGGGGAACCTGGCCTGCCTTGGGAGGGCACAATCTTATGAACAGAATCCGTGATCTGGGATCTGCTTTAGCCCCCACCAGGCAGGCCAGGAATGTGCCTGCAGAGGCAAGGAGGCCTGGAGCTGGAGTTGACAACGTTCACCACATTTCATGCTACTGAAGGGACAGGAGCTGGGCCTGGAATGAAGCAGGCTGGAGGGCAGAGGAGTGGGCTCTCGGATCCAGGACAGTGGAGGCCCAGCTGGCCCAGCCTTGTATGTCCTTGTGGGACTTGAGCCTTTAGAAGTACAGGCTGCGTCTGCATAACACACAGGGCCTAGTGCTGGGTGAGCACAGGCCATAGCAGCCCCGGGACTGCTGTATTCTCAGCCGCCCACCCTCATGCCTTCTGACCGGTGGCCTCCTGGCCTCTGCCTTGGACCAAACTCCAGCTTCCCTCTGCAGCAGGGGCAGAACATCAGACCAACAAGGCTCCTGCCACGTCCAGATTCTCTGCTGGTCAGAGAGCTTTCTCTTTGGACTCAGAGACATTGAGGTTGGGGATGGCTGTCCCCTGCCAGAACCCTTGCACAGAGAGGAGAAAATATGGCTTTGGAATCTCAGGCTAGGCGCAGCCTTGGTTGTCAGCAGGAAGCGGGAGAAGGCTCTGGGCTGGGCCAGGATCAGCCACTGAAATGGAAGGTTCCCCACCCTGTGACCCCACAGTGCATCCAGCCTTCAGCCTCCCAGCAGCCCAGTGGGGGCAGCCAGAGGAGAGGTGGGTTCTTGACCTAGGGAGCTGGTGGGCTGTTGGCACACGCCCATGGCACCACTGGTGGGCGACAGCTGTCCTTGCTAGCGATATCGCCGGCACTGGGGAATCCTTTGCCTCCAGGCCTCCTGTTGGGTCAGAGAAGGGGAGTTGGAAAACAAGACAGCGCAGCGTCAGTTTGGCAGCCATGGCATCCCCGCTCCTACACGGGGCAAAGAAAAGATTGAGGACGTATTCTTCACAGAAGCCAGCTCTCCTTGGATGCACCTGTGAGTTTGGCAAGAGTGAAGGGAACAGAGACACCCCAGGGCAGTGGGTTTTGGTTTCTTCAATGTTGACCCTTAGTTTGGGGTCTAATCTTCCCTGCTGCTGATGCAGGGTGGCACATGGCTCTTGTTCTCTTGTTCGTCCTGAGCTCTGGCAATCATGTACTTTAGGATGGGGAGGGACTTTGAGGGCAGTTTCACCAGGCATAGCTGGTCAGATGCACCCTATGTGGGCCTCTATCTCTGTGCCCCCAGACCAGGGTCCCTGTTGTGAACTCAAGTCTGTCTTCCCTAGCACTCGGCCAGTTCCTGGAGGATGGGAATCATACCTGATCTGTCTCTGTGTTCCGCTCCCTCTGCCACTCATACCAGTACCTGATGAGCTCTCAGTAAACAAATCACTACGTGCAGCTGGGACTGTGCCTGGGAGTGTCCGCAACATGCAGCCTGGTGCTGGCTGTGCCCTCCCCTCACATGCAGGAGTCCCATTGATTTCCAAGATGATAGGAAGGTTCCGAGGCCCCTAGATGGTTCTGTGACCCCTGGGGATCAGTGGAAGCAGCTATCAGTTTACTGTGGAAACTGGGCCAGCTCACAGGGTCCTGTGTAACCTGCTACAAAACAGGCCAGTTCAAGAGCCATGTGTGGAGGGCTGCGCTCTGCTTTTCTGTGGTTTGGTGGAAATCACCCAAATAAGTAAGAAGGCCATACTGGAACCAGCTAGGAGGAGTGAAATCTGATACCTGCACTGCAGGAAAGAGGGGTGGGGGGAGTTGAGCCGAGGACTCAGTTTGCGCAGAGCCCAAGGCTGAGCCAAGAATGGCATTAGCAGACACCTCGGGCTCTGGAGGTGGTGAAGGGCAGTGCTGATCGTCACTGGTGCTGGAGCCACCCTGGGCAGCATCCCCTGCCTCCATCATTGAGGCCGTCTCAGTACTGTCTGTCCAGGCCGTTTGTCCCCCTGCCCTCAGCAAACGAAATGCCCTAGATGCCGCCTGTGTCTTCGGAGGAGGTTGCAAATGTCTCCAGAGCTAACGGCAGTTAGAGAACACCATGGGCCATGTCCTGGGCTTCCACACCCCCCGCCTTTACTTCCCCCAGTCCATCCTGCAGGCGTCCTCTCTGACCGCACTCCCCTGCCCGCTGCCTGCCTTCCCTCCCTCGTGCCATGGACAGCCTTACTTCCTGAGCTCTCCCCTTGTCCACTCCCCTCTTGGCCTCCGTGGTGTCCACCTCAAGGAGGGACCTGCAGGCAGACATCTCACTGCTGCTCCGGCCGACACAGACACTCTGCTGCCCCCTTGTCTTCTGACTGTACCTGCTTTCCCTGGCCCACTCTGGGGACCTCTGCAGCCCCTTCTTCAAATAGGTATGTGGGCGCTCACACCCCTGAAAAGGCCGTGTGACCACACCCACTAGCTGGGGCCCAGATCCCTCAACAGAACCTCAGCCGAACCCTCAGCCCTACACAGGCATCATTTGGGATTCTGGTCCGTTCCCTGCCTGGTGCCCTGCAGCTGCTCCGCACCTTTCCATCAACAGGGCTGCAGACCCCCAGCCTGCGCTGTCCACCTCGGTGTCAGCAAGTGGCCTCTCCTCCTGCTTCCTGTCCATCTTGCTCGTGTGAGCTGCCGTCCTCCAGCTCCACCGCCTCCTCCTGCCAGGAAGGGAAGCTGTTGGTGCCGCAGGCTTTCCTTGGCTCCCTGTATCCCCAGCCCTCCCTCCACTCCCTCTGCTTCAGCTGTTCCCAGACTTGACTCCCAGATGGCACCTCTGTCCTAAGGTCCGGACCATTTCTCCAGTGGCTCATGCGTAGCAGATCCCTGCTGTCTGATTCACATATCAGACTCTACCTGTCCAAAACAAAGCTGCTTCCTTGCTCTCCAAGGAAGCCTTGTACTCGTACTGTCTCAGTCCTCCTCCCTCCCTCCCTTAGCCATGCATCTCCTTCTCCTTTGCCTTAGGCTGCTCACCTTCCTTCCTGGACCCTGAGCTCACTGAGGACAGGGATCATCCTCTTTTCTCTACAAGCCCGGCACAGGGCCCTGTTCATGCATATCTCTTGGGATTAGATTATTTTATTCAGTTCAGAGATTACAGAACCACCGACAGTGTGTCCTCATAAGCAGCGTGGTGGCAGGGAACCTGGGATTGGAGGCAAGCTCTGGATTCTAGTCCCAAATCTACCTCTAACTCTGGGAAAGCCCTATAAAACCTTCTGAGCCTCAGTCTTCTGAGCTGTAAAACGGGAATAACCACGGCCTTCCCATTTCTCAGGACCTTGAAAGGTGACAAGGGAGGAACGGTGCCACCAGGGCCAGCAGTTCTTAGCCCTTGGTGCACATTGACCGGAGTGCTTTAAGAATTACAGATGGCCCGGCCGTGGTGGCTCACGCCTGTAATCCCAGCACTTTGGGAGGCCGAGGTGGGCGGATCACTTGAGGCCAGGAGTTCAGGACCAGCCTGGCCAACATGGTGAAACCCCATCTCTACTATAAATAAAAAAATTAGCCGGGCATGGTGACACACGCCTATAGTCCCAGGTACTCGGGAGGCTGAGGCAGGAGAGTTGCTTGAAAGTGGGAGGTGGAGGTTGCAGTGAGCTGAGATCGCACCACTGCACCACTCCACCCTAGGTGACAGCGGAAGATTCTGTCTCAAAAAAAAACAAAAAAAAACTACAGATGCCTAGGTCCTTCCCCCAGATATTCTAATTGCTGTCATGAGGATATCAGTGTGTTTTAAAACTTTAACCACTACTTTCAACTCATAGGTGTTATTACCAAGTTCCTGAATTCTATGGCTTGAGGAACTGAGATGGGAGTTATAAAGAGTTTGCAAAACAATATTCCTGGATGATGTGTAATTTGTCTCATCTTTCAGTTCCTTTAAAATCTACCCCCTGGATCAAGCCATCCAAAAGCTGGGTACCTTGGCTATGTTGTACTATGTTCATCTTGCGCCACCCCACATGAACTCTACGGGCTGTTAGAATATCTGCTGCCCTCCATCCAGGTCACAACAGTGCACCCTCGTTTAGGATTCTGTGGCAGTTCATGTTTATCCTGTCACTTGTGACTCCTTTGCTAGGACCCTTGGGAGAGGTGTCTCTGATTCCACCACAGACATATTCTTCTCCCGAGCCACTGTCATAGGATCTCATGGACCCACAAATCATGTTGTAACAGATTTGCCTCTTCCATGCTCTCGAAACGGTAACTCTCAACTCTGGCTGCCTATGACATCACCCAGGGAGATTTTTTAAATTCTCATACCCAGGCTACATACCAGATCTGTGAGATCACAGTCAGTCTCTGGGAGGTGGATCCAGGCATCTGGATTTTTGTAAAGCTCCCCAGGTGGTTCTGATGGGTGTGGCCAAGGTCAGAAGCACTGCCAAGCCTGGAGGCAGATTTGTGGCCCACCTGTAGCCTGTGTATGGCATTTTCTAAATACGGTTTCATGTAGGCAACATTCCCTCCTCCGTTTCCTGCTCCTACACTTGTGATTCTCTCTCCTACTTTTGATTTATGGTGTCTTAATGTATCCTTTTAAGTCCCCTGCAATCCTTTCTGGAACTTAGCAAAGTGAAAACAAATAGAGTAGAAAGGTTCCTGCTTTTCTCTGGCTGGGATCTGGGCACAGCTCCCACCCCAGTCAGCCCTCGCTGGAAAGAGGGTAGGAGCCTCCTGTTTCCCCAGCCACAGTAGCTGGTCAGCAGCCTCGTTCTGTAACCCCACAATGGGTAATTGTAGCTAGTTCTGCCAAGAGCCCTCCAAGATCCCGTAGAAGAGGCTGGTTTGGGCTGAGAGCGGTGGCTGACGCCTGTAATCCCAGCACTTTGAGAGGCCGAGGCAGGCAGATCATCCGAGGTCAGGAGTTCGAGACCAGCCTGACTGACATGGCGAAACGCTGTCTCTACTAGAAAATACAAAAATCAGCCGGGCGTGGTGGCACATGCTTGTAATCCCAACTGTTCGGGAGGCTGAGGCAGGAGAATTGCTTGAACCCGGGAGGCAGAGGTTGCAGTGAGCTGAGATCACACCACTGCACTGCAATCTGGGTGACAGGTTAAAAAAAAAAAAGAAGAAGAGGCTGGTTTGGTTCACAGCATCTGAGTGCTGAGACTGGGCTGGGGGGAGATCAGAGATGGCTAACGATGGTCACCAAAGCGCCACCCAGTTCAGGATTGTGGAAGGCCATGCCCCCCTTTTCCATCTTCCTTGTCCGCTGCCCTCAGTCCCATGCTAAACAGCAGGCGGAGATTGTCAACAAAAGGCTGGAGATGCCCAGGGATGGACTCTTTCCCCAGTCCTGAAAGCCAGGGAGCTGAGGATAGCATGCACATGGGCAGTTTCTCTTAGTGAATGGCGGGTGAGATGGAGGGGCGCACAGCCGTCCAGTCTAGCTACAGAACCTTGTTTGGCACCTGGGCTAGAAATAGCTTCTCCACAAACCTCAGAGTTTATTTTTACGGCAAAATTTGATTTTCTAAGAGGCCTGTCTCCTTGCTTACCTCGCACCTGCTCAGGTGGCTGCGGCTGCCAGGAACAGTGGTGAGTTTGTGTCCTCCGTGAGGGCACCTGGCCAAGGAGACATGGGTGCTGACCCCCAGCCTGTGCTCTGGGAGTGTCGCTGTGCCCTTGAGAGTTCAGAGAGAGGAGTGCCTCTTTCTAACTTGCACAAAAGCATCCATCGGGGAAAGCACCATGTGTGCATCCTGCTCAGGGAAAGCACTGTGTGTGCATACATTGAGTGACCATGCTCTGAAATTGATGGACTTCTCTCCTGTAGGGATGATCTCATTTACTCATACTCAGAGGCCACTCAGAAAGACTTTTAAGCTTTTGTTTTCTAATCATAAATTTCTCCTCTCTCCCTCCAACTCCACCCCTGTCTCTCTCTCTTACAACAGGACAAATAGTGCCAGGAGTACTGGGGACTACAGGATGAATACCCAGCACATGGTGAAACAGAAGAGTGTTGCAACGCTCACTCATTCATTCATTCATTCATTCATTCATTCATTCATTCATTCATCCATCACTTACTGGTAGTCACATTGTACATTGTCCTAGGTCTGGGATCCAGAGAGGTCAGACTTTCGCCCTGCCTGCAAGGAGCTCTCAGTCCGGTGGGGCAGCCAGTACATACGAATTCTTACATGATTAACGCGATCAATTCTTATGTGGCAAATATGTGATAAATGCAGCAAAAAGAATGTATACCAAGTGCTATGGAAGAGCAACTCATTTACTTGACTTAGTGAGCATCTACTATAATGCTAGGCATTGTTGTAGGCACCGGGGGTATCACAGTGACCATATGAGATAAAAACCCCTGACCCAGAGCACACACTTGAGGGGGTGAGAATATTCAGCAACTAGCTTAGTTTGATCAAAACCATAGGCTTCAAAGAAGAGGTGAGTTAAAGCTGGAAATTGAAACCTATGCATTTATATGTGTGTGTGCAGGGAACACTAGGCAATGGGAACAGCTTGTGTAAAAGCCTGAAGATATAAAAAGACCAAAGATATCAGAGCAAAAATGCTAAGGGAAACCTAAGAATTGGGAGACACAGCCTTGAATGCCATGCTAACCCTCCCAAGGTCACTGTCTCATATAATGGGGATGTAGCTGAAAGCTCACAGGGCATTGGCCAGAGCCACCCTCACAGCTAGGTTCCATGTGGACTCCCTGACCCCAAAACAGAGACTCCTTGGCAACTCCCACTCCAACTCCAATTTGTTGGAACCTCTAAGGCTAAAGATAGACGATTTATGTTACCTCCTTCTGTGACCTAGTGCTTTTAGGTTGCAAAGTGTTTTCATAGCTTCCTCTCCTGGATCATGAGAGGGACTCTAGGAGGTAGACAAAAAGGGGTTCTTGTTGCCATTTATTGTACCAAGGAGCAAACCAAAGCCCAGAGAGGTCTAGTATCTTGCTCAAGGTCACACAGCCCATCAGGCAGAGCAGAAACTAGAGTCCTTGTGTCCTGGTTCCTAATACAACCCAGGGGCCCTTCTTGTTCCCATGTCAGCTGCCACTCCTTATTTTGAAGCCTAAAAAGCTCTCAGCAAGTATCAATCACATGCCTGCCTGCCTCCCACGACCATTAGTGCAGCACATACGACGTGTCAAGCCAGGCATTGACCATCTGCTGGGCTGCAATGTGGTCCCAACCCCCACTCAGGAAGAGAACTGAAGGAGTCACGTATGGGCTGCCCTTCTTCCCACCCACCATGACCCAAGAGGCCTAAAGACCATGAGTCAACCAGACCCAGGCTGTCACCCTCCTGAGCCAAGTGGAACAGGTCACAGAATGACCATCGCAGGCTGGAGACCCCTCCACTTGCTCCTAGACCACCTGGAGGCCATTCATGACAGCCGCCAATACCTATTTTCACCCTTTCTTGTAATCAGGCTGGTTGTGAAGAGAATGGGGAGATTTCAGCCTCACACACAGAGCCCGAGCTCACCTGTGGAAGACAGACGTAGCCTAGCAGTCCTCACGGGCCACCCTTGATGTGTTGCAACTCATTTAGATAAAAGTGTCTGGCTCGTAAGGTAGCAGCAACAGCAAAAATCATTAGAAGCACATTTCTGCTTTTACAAAGTAACCTAGTAACAGCACAGGAGGCAACAATTAACCCGGCACTCCGTTCTCTAGGTACACAGGCAGGTGCTGAAAGTGGAAAACGGAAGTCAGAACACAGAGACATTCTGTCCAGGCCCTTCTGGGATCAGCACTCTGGGATGTGGGATGGCCCCGCCAGCCAGAGAGCCACACCCCTGCCATTAGCACAGAGAGGAGGTGTCCTCCCTCTCCATCTCAGAACAGTGTGATTATTTATTTAGCACCAGTTCAAGGCTTTCTGAAATGCATTCGCGGTGCTCTGCCATCTTGCGCAGGTCCTCCCTGAACTACCACTGCTGCCTCTGTGGATCAGATAAAGGAAATCTGGCCTGCACCAGTCTCTGCTGGGCTCTTGCTCCCATCTCTGCAGACTCCTGTTCTCCCTGACCTACCTGAGTGTTCATATCCCACCTTGGGGCACTTGGTCCCGCTGAGCAAGTCTTCCAGAAGCGCCTCTCCCATCCCTACCTATCTCCTGGCAAAGAGCTCCAGGGCCGCCCCCGAGGGAATTCTCTCTCCTCTGATGCCATTATGCCATTTCTCTCCCTGGCACCCTTGTAGTACTTGCTGCTTCCTGGTTCCGGTGTGGTCCTGTCACTGTCCAGTATGCCCAAGGCTCATTCCCACCCCCAGTACTGAGGGCAGCCTGCAGAGCCAAACACCCTACACAGGCTGAAAAGGAATTGATGAATGGAAAAAGTCAGTTCCCACGGCCTCTGGCTGTGCTCCTGGCCCCTCAGCCCCACGTCCTCAGATCCCAGAACTCTCTCAGGAGACTACCGGGAGTCTTTGGTGGCAGGGACTGTCTCAGTCAGTGTGTCTCAGTCACAAAGCCTGGCACAAAGAAGGCTCTCAAATGTTTCTGAGATAAATGAATGATCTAAAGTGGCTCCTTTAACCTGTCTAAATTGTGTGTGAAAGGAGCCAGCCACACCCATCAAGGCAGCTAACAGCTGCCCATGTTAGGGCAGAGGGTGACGCACTGACCCTGCTCTCCCAAGGCCACCACCCCTGGGGACATGGTGCACCCAGCCAGAGCCCTCCTTCCCACTGTTCCAAGCATAGTCCATGGCCCAGGAGGAAGCTAGGCCTCCCAGATCTTGCTAGAACCCAGGCTCTCAGTATGCTCAACATTGCATTCAAGCCATGTTTAGAAAGGTATGTTCCATATTCAGAGGGTCCTCACGGCCTTTGTTCATTCATTCAGGCAACAGCAAGCAGCAGAAAGTAAATGGTCACAAGCACAGCTGCTAGACTGCTTTGGTCCTAACCCCAGCCCTGCCCCTTTCCAGCTGTGCAACCTCTGGGCACAGTCCTTAACCTCCCTGTGCCTCAGTTTCTTCATGTGCAAAATAGAGATTTTCATAAAATTTTCTGGTGGTTGTAAGGACTAAATGAGTTAACATAATAAAGTGCCTAGAATAGTGCGTAAGACATGTACAAGGCTTTGCTCTTATTATTCTAAAAGACTAGGACCTGGCTGAGTCATGGACTTAATTCATACCTTCTTTGAGCCCAAATGCATCTTCAAGGAAGGTGTCGGCATGCCCACCTCCCACCCTCACCTGTCAGTCATCCTGCAGCCTTCGCTTGCTGAATGCATCCAGTCGTAGGGGATGTCTGTCTGTTCCCAGAGAGGTGGCCCTCCTTGGCCCACCAGATCCCAGACAGCCACTGGGCTGCATCCTATTCCAGTTCTCCATAGGCCACAGCAGAGGGTCCTGGGGCCCCTCCCACTTACTTCTGGTAGGGAATCTGCAAGCACCTATCACAGCCCCATTTCATTTAGCCCCTCACCCCATGAAAAGGGTCTGAACTCCTGATCAGCACACAGTGTCCAGCAGCCCAAACCTGGACAGTGATGAATGGGCCATCCGAGATGCTGGGGCTTATCCCTCCCACGATTGCCACTGACAGGCTTTGAGACCCAGAAGCATGTCCGTGCCCCTCTTTGGATCTTGTTGTTTTTATCTGCATCATGAGGGGACTGGATTTATGATCGATCCCCAAGGACCAGTCAGGCTCTGTCCCTAGAAGTGACGCTCTGGATGGGGCCATGTGGGGGCTTCTGGGACTCCACCACAATTAGCACTGTGGCCTCAGAAGTTATGTCAGCATGTCCTTGGGGCATCTGTCATTAACAATTATGAAGTCATTTTCTGGTAAATAATTCATAACCCGAGAGATGGGATAAGCTGCCAATAAACAATAATCCATTTAGAATGAGGCTTGATGAGGGCGAGCACAGCTGCGGAATTGCAGCCACCTCCTGGAGGGCAGCTCCCTGCTCACCTCTGGTGTCAACAGGGCCCATCCTTAGGGCCCTGCTCAGGCCACACCTCCTCCCTGAAGCCCTCCTTCACCACTCCTGACCAAAGGCATCACCCCTCCCCTGAGCTCAGGCATGACTGAGTCTGTGAACCCAGTGAGGGCTGGCCAAGTGCCCAAGGCTGTGCTAAGCAACTTGCATGCACTTTCTCGTGGAATCCTCCCAGTGGCCTTAGGGCTGTAGCTACTGTTGTTATCTCCTGTACCGAGAAGTAAACTGAGGTTTAGAGACTAAATAACTTATCCAAGGTCGCTGAACTAGAAAGCCCAGGTCTGGAGTTCACATCTGTATGATGTGAGAGCTCTCACTCTTAGCCAGGGTGTCCCACTCCCTCGTGCGAGCAGCTGTACCTCTTGTCATTTGTCCAGGCTTTATTTGTGTGTGACCTTTGTCTCTCCAGCAAGACTATGAGCCCTAGATGGGTCCCAGGAGGTACTTCCTAGAGGCCATAGAGCAGAGCGTCTCCTTGCTGGCTGGCTACTTAATGTTGTAGTGAGGCTTCTAGTGGTGTTTGGAGGCCAAACCAAGGACGCTGGAGAGAGGGGCAGGAGGGGACGTCTTCTGCACATGCTACCTGAATTTCCATCTTCTAATAGGCCTATTGCATTTTTCCTGCCCAAGGGACACTTTGCAGCCTCTGGCTATACCCCCTGGAAGTACTCCGTCCTGGGGAAGAAGTTCTTTGCTCAGATTCTGGGAACCCTGGCTGCATGGGTTGGTCATTAGGACTGGGTTAGCTCTGCCAAGAGCTCCTCCTCTCCTGCCATGCCATCACCTGCCATCAAGGCCAGCAGCCCACCCTGTATCATCTGCAGGACTTGCCCCCAGTGCCCAAGGCTAGAAGGGGTCCTCAGGGGTGTCCCACTCCCCCTGCTAAAAGGCTGCATTCTTTTTTCTCCTGGGTAGGGGCACTGCAGACATTGTTGGCCCCTGTATTATAACCAGCCTTTCAAGGCCCATAGTCATGAAGGTCCCTGTTTTTTCTTCTCAGGGAAAAACAGAACTGCCCTGAGTTGCAAGTGTCAAGGAACAGGGTGGAGTTTCTAGATGTTGAACCTGTAATTGTCACACATCTGGAATGTTGCACAAACCTCTGCAGCTGGGCCGTGTGGTGGGAGAAGCCACAGTGGCTCGGTGCATGCTCATTCCTCAATAACCACAGTAACCAGCCCGAGGGGAGGCCCCTTCTAGCCTTTTAACCTCCTACGGCCAGTGATGTGGTCAGGACTGGCAGATGCGTGGCAAGACAATGGGTCACTTGCTGCTTTCTAGAACAGCTTCAAACAGCTGGAATCTTCCCATCTCCTTTGAACAGAATTGCCTCACGGGAGGCACTGGCCCCGTCTTATTTGTCAGGTGGGCTTCGCAATAACACACCTCCTGCCCCTGGCCTGAGCTCCTTGCTTTCAGGATTGGGGAAAGATTCCACCCCTGGGCGCCCCTGGCCTTTTGCTGACAATCTCCACCTGCTATTCAGCATGGGGCTGAGGAGTAGACATGGAAGGCAGAGAGGGGGGCCCAGCTACTGCCAGCCTGGACTGGATGATGCTCTGGCAGCCGTCTCTGGGCATCCCCCGTCTCCCGCTCAGTCTCGTCTCAGCACTCAGATGCTGGGAACCAGACCAGCCTCTACTATGGGGCCTTGGAGGGCTCTTGGCAGAACTGGCTACAATTCCCCATTGCGGGATTACAGAATGAGACCGTGACCCAGCTCCTGTGTCTGGGGAAGGAGAGGCCTGATGGGTGGGAGCTGTGCCCAGATCCGAGCCAGAGAAAAGCAGAAAGGTTTTCTATTTTCTCTATTCTACTTGTTTTCACCTCATTGAGTTCCAGGAAGAATTGCAGGAGACTTAAAAGGACACATTAAGACATCATGAATCAAAAGGAGGAGACAGAATCACAAGTGTAGGAGCAGGGAGTGTCGCCTACACAAAACCACATCTAGAAAGTCCCACAGATGGGCCACAAGTGGGCCACACATTTTCCTCCAGGCTTGGCAGTGCCTCTGACCTTGGCTGTTCATTGGAATTGCCTGGGCATTCTGGTGACTAATGCAAAGCCATCTACCTCTTGCTTACCCCCAAAGAAGAAGGGACCACATCCTAAATCTGTATTAAGGGTCTTGCTTTTATTCTCGGACTTGGCCGGTCCCAGGGAGGTTGGGATGCTCTCGCTTCTGGGGTGGCTACTACAGCCCATCAGGACAGGACTTTGCATGCCCTGGTTGTGGACAGATTGACAGAAAATAAAAGTATTGTTTAGGGAAGGGAGGGGTAGTTTCCAACCCCAGCAATAAAGGAATGAGAGAAACTGGTGTTTATCACAAAGCAGAGAACATGGCGTTTCCGTGGGCTCTAACAATGTGACATCCTCAAGGAAGGATGGGTCTGTGACTGTGGGTCCACTTGGAAGGTGCCCTCCTGTTCCCCAGCGGGGTGCTGAGTGATGTGCTGGGAGGAAGGGCCTACCCGCGAGCCTGGTTGGTCCTTCTACAGAAAGCCCTGGGGATGGATTGTCTCTGACACTAAAGCCTCTTCCCAAAGGTCTCCAGGGAAAGAAATTCCATCAGCTTCCAGAGTCCCTATTCCGGTGGCTCCTGCAGGCTTTTCTTCTATCTGACCTGAATCTCCCTTGCTGCAATTTAAGCCCATTTTCCCTTGTTTTGTTTTGAGTGGAAATGGAGAAGAGCTTGTCCCCAGCTGCCTCCGAAAGCAGGGTGAGTCAGAAGTCCTTGCGTACCTCCTGCCACGCTGAAGTCATTCTCAGAAACCTGCGCTATTGAATCTGTCCTCATGAAAGCCTCCCAAGAGAACCAGCTTCGCATTAATGCATGAAACAAGGCTCCACTCTGGGATGGGGGCATGGTGGTGGCAAGGCCCTTCCTGCAGGGACGGCACTAGATGGCCCCGAGTGAATGTGCCTGGCCCCTGCAACAGCTGGGGAGAGGGGCATGTGAACGGATCAGCACCTCACAGTGAAACTTGCATGCGTGGAGTCTGGTCAGGGAGCTGGGTGGGGTGGGCGGTACCCACACCAAGGAGGAGGTGCCCACATCAGGTCCTAAGGGAGAGGAGGAGGTGGCTGGGGAAAGAGGAAGTCCTCTCAGGCGGGTACCAGGAGACTCCTTGTCCACTCTAGGTTCCACATTTGCGTTTGAAAAAACAGTCTTCTTATCTATACTCCCCTTGCTCTAGTGTTGGCAATGGATTGTTTCCCCGCCTGCCTCAGCTGATGTTGAATGGAAAGATCATTCACTTATTTCATGAGTGCGCACTGGGGGAGCCTCCGTGGGCGAGGATGCGCGTGCAGGCGCATACATTCTCTGGAGGATTCTTTTGGCCTCTTGATCTCCCAGACCACTAGGTTTCTGTCTTGTTTTTGTGCCTTTTTACTTCTGGGAACAAAAAACCCCCACTTGTTTCTGCTAAAGATAAGCTATTTTGTAGGCCATTGAAGCCAATTCCTGGAAGAGTTGGGTTGGTGGTTAAAAAAAAAAAATCTGATTGGAAAGCAGTAGATCACAGCAGCTAAGTGACTGAGTTTAAAAAGCAATGATGCTGAGTGGTCCTGACAACACTCGGACAGCACACAGTGAATACAAGAGAAGAATTTTTATATTTCCTAGGCTAGTGGAATTAAAACCTTCCTACTCTGCAGGATAAATGGAGAGAAACAGAATCTCTTTTTCCTAAGCAGTTATCTAAGTGTGATACTTAGATGTGAGCAAGGTAATTAGGCTTTGTTTTTTTCCGCTGCTTGGTCAAAAGCCCCCTTCTCAAACTACTTGGCTCCAATACCATGGGGGAAAAAACCCACCTACATTGATTGGATTTAAATAATGGAATTGCCATTAATATCTTTCATAAAAGATGATTGATTTCTGACTTTGGATTTATGGAAAGTTGGGGCTTGTAAAAGTGTTCAGAGTGGCAGTCATTCAGTATTAATGCTGGTTCATACCCTTCCCTCCTCAGGGCTGGTTACATGGATGGCTCCCAACCTAAACCCCCCCATGCCAGCTGCTAGGTCACAGGGATCTCTGGAGGGTGTAACGGGCAGCCCTGGGCCCATCCAGTTGCCAGCTGTGGTGGTCCAGGAGGCTGGGCTGAACCCTAGCCCTCTTTCCTTCTTTACATCAGATTTTTTTTTACCTAATATGATTTTTTTTTATTTTACTTTAAGTTCTGGGATGCATGTGCAGAACATGCAGGTTTGTTACACAGGTATACATGTGCCATGGTGGTTTGCTGCACCTATCAACCCATCATCTAGGTTTTAAGCCCTGCATGCGTTAGGTATATGTCCTAATGCTCTCCCTCCCCTTTCCCCCAACTCTATATCAGATTCTAGTATGAAACTCAGTGCTCCAGCCCCTAGGGACACCAGCAGCTTCCACCTGTGCTCTGTGGAAGCTCACTGCCCCTCATAGGATGGAGGACCACTGATGACCCAGAGAGGCCCTCTGCAGGTGGGTGGGTATGTGAATGACACAGCCTCTGAGCTCTGCTCTCCTACCCTGGGAGCTCAGATGGACTGGCCTTTAGTACAGGGACCTGCGCGAATGTGGTCTGGTGGTTCAGTATGAGTTCCTGTAGTGATGGCTTTCTCCTGCTTGGGAAAAGGCAGAGGGAAGGCCTAGGCACACCAGCAAACCAGTAGCAGGGCCCTGTGTGGCTTCAGATGCCTGGGGGGCTGAGGGGTATGAATCAGGTCTCAGGGCTTATAGCTCCCATGCATGCAAGCCTTCCCCCGCTGGGCCAGCAGCTCTGCTCTGCTCCTGCTCCTCTTGCCCTCAGGTAGCTGCCCCTTTCATCCCTGTCCCAGCAGTGGGAATCCCATATCACTGTCTTCCAGCCCTCCGGGTGCTACTGATCTCCTGTTCTCAGCTCTGTGCTGGAGCCTCCCAGATCCATCCCTAGGGATTGGTCCTGTTGACATGGCTGTCCACTGCCCCTCCCTCCAGATGCCGCTCAGGTGCCGTGCGACCTCGCTGAACTCCATGTTCCCTCAAGCTACCTCCTCCTCCCATGTCCCCCACCTCTGGAAATGGCAACACCATCTGCCCAGTCCCCTAGTTAGAAACCTGAGAGTGCATCTCGCCTCCACGTACTACAGGCTGTCAGCTCTGCCTCCTAACCATCCCTCCCACTCGTCCTTCCCCTCCATCCCCACTGCTCTTGACTTCCTTCAGCAGACCCTCACCAACTGGCACCTGAGCAACCACCATGGGCTCCCTGCCTCCACCTTTTTCCCTCCAGTTCCTCTGGTACACTGGCCCCAGCGGGAGCTCTAGGATGCAGATCACACGTCCAGCCTCCCCAGACCCTGGAGGCCAAGTTCCAGACACCTGTGCTGAAAGCATACCACCCACGATCACACTCTGAGACCTCGTGCCACTGTGCCTCTTCCACATGGTCTCCTCCACCTGGGATGCTATTCCCATGGGCCTCTCTGGACTGGCCCCCTTGACCTCCTCCCAAGGCTGAATCAACCATTCCTCCTTGCACACTGTTCATGCCTCTAGTGCAGAAGGGGAAATTAACCTGTGAGGGCCTGATCTGTTAGACCGGTTTGGGGCTGCTGGTCTTCTTCACCCCCGCTTCTGAAAACCCCTGCACCCACCCCCAGCC
This sequence comes from Homo sapiens, assembly GCF_000001405.40. Taxonomy (NCBI): domain Eukaryota; kingdom Metazoa; phylum Chordata; class Mammalia; order Primates; family Hominidae; genus Homo; species Homo sapiens. The sequence goes on from NC_000002.12 coordinate 23,492,427, forward strand.
CTTGCTGTTTGATAGCAGTCACGTGGCCCACCCTCCAGCCTCAGCTTATTGGACGAGGGGCAGATACCTGGCTTCAGGCTACTCTTCCATTGGCTGGCAGCAACACAGGCCTGGTGGGCCGTGACTTTAAGAAATTAGCTGGAGCATCAGATTAAATCTCCTTTGCAATGGGAAGTAAGGGAATTAAGAACCAGAGAGTTCCATCTGGGGCTGGGTCCTTTAGCCTGATGCTTATATGAATATAAGAAAAGCATGATTTTTCTGAGGCTCTGTGCAAAACAGAGTTGAGTCTCAAAGGCTGGTTGGGAAGGAAGGAAAAAGAGAGGTGATATCCTTAGAGAAGGGGTTTGCAGAGCAAGACAGACAGAGCTAGTCCTGGCTGGTCCCGAACCTCCTCTTTTTTTTGCCCATCGGCTGGGTTCCTTGAAGGCCCTCCTTACCGTAGCCTCACGATACTACGATGCAGCCCACAGGAAAGGCACGGGTGTCTGAGCCCAAAAGCCAGAACTCAAGTCCTGCCTCTCTCCGTTGCAGCTGTATAACCTTGGGCAAATTACTTTCATCTCTCCCTCATCTGCAACAGTGGAAATATTCCAGGATCTAATGGGCAGTTGGACGAGATGATGTTCAAGCTCCGTTCCTGCTCTAACATCTCACAGCCCTGTCGTCTTTGCCCTGCCTCCCGCACAGGAATGACGTAAGGTAGAGCACTTCACAAGCCTGGCCAGCTCAGTGTTTGCCCCAACCTGTTCTTGCAAATAGCATTGCCCTTTCCTGTTAGCACAGCTCCCAGGGGGCCTCTGGGAGCTTTTGCTTCTCTGCTTGCTGTTTAAGAGGGATTTATGCCGTGGCCAGGCAGGCCAGGATGTTCATGCACCCCCAATAGCAGCTTTATCTAATGAGGATGAGATGCTTACACATATTTTCATTTTTTAAAAAATCGGCTATTAATTTGTCAGAATTATTCATATTTTACTGATGATATTTTCCATGTATCTAATCAGGGAGCTCATGAATAGAAATGAAACTATTTAAATACAGAGATGGTGTACATTGTACGATCTTGTTTTCTCAAGCTGTTTCATAAAGCAGTGAATACATTTATTTCTTCTAAAAACAGGTTTTGCAATCATCAAAAACTTTTTTAAATCTTTGATTAAATATGACTCTATTCGAATATGCTAAATCTCTGGGAGCGGGGTGGGCGTGTGTGTGTGAGTGTGTGTGTGTGCGCGCATGTGTGTGCATGTGTATGTGTGTGTGCATGTTTATGCGTGTGTGTCTGTGTCTGTGTGTCCGTGTGGTCACTTGAACAAGTACATTGTTTTCCGGCCTTCTCCATAGGGACAGGAGACTTTTTCTTTTAGTGAGAAAAATGGAAAACACATTCTGGGTCAAATATTTAGGATGGATAGATGGCAAAGTAAAAGCACAAATTGAAATCGAGCTGAGTAATATTGGAGATAATTATTTGTACAGTGTAGACTTTTAAACTGCTCAAAATTCCAGCAGCACTTACCTACACTGAAAGAGGTTTAGAATCATTAAACAAAGCCAGATATTAAATATACTACTGCTATCTCTCGAAACATTAGCAAGTAATGTAAAACACATGGCATCTACTCAATGGAAAATCTGAGAATACAAATTATAATAGTTGTCGTATAAGACCTCTGGGAAGCTTGAACTAAATTGCTTAATTCCATTAATAACAAACTATTACTCTAGCTATTAAAGTAACATAAGGTAATAGAGATCATGTCGAGAGATTGTACTGAGGCTCTTTCTTCACCTAGCACAAATTTATTCAGGGGCATTGATAGATTTTAATTGACTATGGCAACTGAATAGCAACAAAGGAAATTGAATGTCTTTTGAAAAGCTCCACGTTTTGTAGAAGCAAATAGCAACACCAAAATGAAGGTCTGGGAAGCTGGGTCAGGCAGGGAAGGGTGCTGGGAACATTTCCACCAGCAGCTCCTCCACGGAGATGCTTTCCTGTGACCTTAAGGAAACGCTTCCTGGGAACAGGCACGCCACAGGCCTGAGCATCTTTTTCAGCTGCATGCAGTCCAAGTGGAAAGGCAACCAATCCAGGCTGCTCTAAAAGCACGTGCTTTGTCGTGAATATCCATCAGGCACGTTTCCAAGATATAGGACTGCAGGGACCTTCATGCAAACTGCCGAAGCCTCTCTGGAGAGTTCTGAGAACAGGATTTGTTTTGGCCCAAAGGCTTGGCAATGGCATGAGTGACCCCAAACCCCCAATCATGATTCTGGGGCTGAGGATCATGAAAGACCCCCTCGGCTTCCATCTGGTCCAGGATGGATTCTGGTGACCGTCACCTAGTTTTCTCTCCCACTTCTTGGTCCTCTCCCTGCTTTCCGGGCTCCTTCTGTCTTCTTTCCACACACCCAGTTGCCATCAGCGTATCTGTCGTGCAGCTCACACTGGCCTTGCACTATTGCAGTATCCTGGTCTTGATGAAGCGACAGTGCTCCTTTCGTCGCCGTAAGCCAATCTCTCCTTCCCACTCACCCAGCCCCAAGCACCTGGGCCTTCAGTGCTGCCTCAGTGCCTCTGTTGGAAGGAAATCTCTTTTATTTTATTTATTTCTGTGAGTATTTTATTTATTTTTTGGAGACGGAGTCTTGAACTCCTGGCCTCAAGCAATTTTCTCGAACTCCTGGCCTCAAGCAATTTTCACATCTCAGTCTCCCAGAGTGCTGGGATCACAGGCGTGCATCACTGTACCTGGCTGGAAACCCCATTTTTAAGGGAAATGGTAAAAGATGTGAGGGCCTGCAGGAGGTGGTCCCTGTAGTGACGTTCTAGGAGGTGCCTCTGTGGGCTGTCAGGCAGGTGGCAGGGAAGTCAATGGAGCCCCCCAATCCTGGTGCCCATGCCATGCTTTTTGGTGAGGTGGGTCCAGGTCATTGCCCCTACCTGGCTCTGGGACACATGATAATTTTGCAGCAGAGGTGTTGAGGTTGTGTCTTCTGATGTTTGGCTGGACATTCCCATTTGTTTTCATGAATGTCTGAAATGTCATCTCACTTAAACCAGTACAATACTCTTTATCTTCTGCCCTGGGTGGCAGTGGGTATAACAGTCAACCCTGCCATGTCCCCTGGGACTCGGGACATTCTCCCAGCCCCCATTGGTCCCAGCTTCTCTCCAGGACATCACAGAGGAGCTTTGGGGTCAAGCCTGCACCGTACCCACCTCCACTGTACCCACAGCTCCAGCGAGAGTGACGGCCCCTCCTGGCATCGTGTCAGGGCCAGGGCTCCGGGGGTTGACACCCCAGAACAGGCTCCGGCTCATGGCTGTGGACGCCTACCTTGTTGGCACTGGGAGAGTCTAATCCCGCCACGACTGTAGCACGCGCATGTGTTTGAAAACCTCCTTGGCAGGCAGGACCTCCTAATTTTTTCCACTTCTTGTGATTAGCGTTGCAGACTAATCCTAGCACCAGACTCAACACCAGCTGTTCTTCCCCCACTGCTTGTTTTTACTTACGAACCAAATCCTGGAGTTGCTGCCGAATTGGCCAGCGCCGCTCTGCTCCTCCCTCAGCCCGAGCTGCAGCCAGTCACCTATGGCATGACCTCAGATGAACTGTCTTTTCAACATGGCCACCCGTGTGTCCTTCACAGTGCCCGGACGGCACTGCTCAGTCTCAGGGGGCACGAGAGGGGCTCACTGGGTTCCAAAGAGGACTCCGGCTTACCCGCTGCAGCAGTGGGATATCAGCTGTTCCTGGAGCCAAACTGATCTTAGAAATTTGGTTTTGCATCCTTAGACACGAGACAGCCCTGGATACCACTTATAATTTTTTATGTAATATGGTATTTTCAGAATAAGATATGTAACATTTAGATAAGTTGTATGACAACAATGAAATGAACACACATGATCCATCCCACCTCTGAACTTAAGAGCTGAAACATCACCAGACTATTGAAACTGCCTGTTTTCCTGCTCCATTCATTCCAGGTCCTCTTAAATTTGGAAAGGGGTATGCAGAAAGAGCACAGCCCTGGTACCTCCTCCCTCTCCCCCATCCTGCTCCCACCGGAAAGATATGTTTTCCCCCAAAAAGGGTACCCCGCCAGTGTGCAGCAGCAGCACCCCCTCTAACCTTCAGCGGGGCCAGCGGTGGAGGGAGGGGAGGCAGTGCAGCCTGGGCAGGAAGCAAGGCCTCAGTGGCCTCCAGATTTGCAAGAGGGGCCAGAGCTGCCCTAGGGGGCCCAGGGACCACCGCTGTCTCTGCTTTGGAAATTTCTCTGGCATGCTTCCTCTTCCCCTGACTTCTGTGGCAATGCTTGGGGGAAAGTTATTTACTGAATGCAGACCCAGGGACTCAGACTTCTGCATCCATACATACCATCCATTTGCATTTCTGTGAGAGTCTCTCACATACCTGGAAGGCCCTAAAAACAAATCAGGGAGTGTGGCATATGGGACATTTGCCCTCCAAACACTGCAGCGTCAAGAAGAATTGCAATTGTCAGAAATATCATATTCCTGTCAAAAGCGCATGAAATCAATTCTGTAAATTGAGAAACATAAGTCACAGTTATATTTGTTCTGCAACCATATAAGAATCACGAGTTTCTCCTAGGGTAGGAAAAAAAAAAAAAACTATGAGCCCTTTAGAATGACTTAATGTCCAATCATAGCCACCTTTACCAGGCAGTGCTGTTTCTGTTGGCATGAGATTTCTGACTGCCTTCAGTCGGTGGGTATTTCCGCTGGGTTGGTTGCTTTCTTGGCAACTGCGATTACTTGAAAACGGGATGAAAGTAAGTGACTCCTTTTTTGTTTTCCTCCTTGGCAATCTCTCTGTGGTTTTGTGGCTGCCCATGTGGTTCTCTTTCCTTCCTCTGTCCCTCCATGACTAGAGCACCACAGCAGGGAGCCGAGGGTTTCCTGGGGTTGGGCAGTCACTCAGCCCCTCCCTCTAGCAGTGCACGTGCTCTGGAGTTCCACATACCTGGACCCTGTTACCCCGTTTTAGTTGCACAGGACTGCTGGGGGAGACGGTGCAATAATCATTTGGTCAAGATGAGCCAAGCCTCCTTTGGGCCGAGCACGGAGATCACAGAAATGGACTCCAACTCACCTCCACCCAGAGAGGCAGGGCCAAGCCTAAAAGTTTTGTAGGGATTTAGGGAAGGGAGGGAGCAAAGGGCTGGGAGAGCCAGGGAAGGTTCATTAGCCCAGGAGCATCTTTCCCTGCCTCCTAAAGGAATATAGCCTTAAGCTCTTTGGAGGAGAGGGGAATATTCCAGCTGGGCCAAGAGAGAGGGTGGCCTGAGGCTGGTGCGTGCATGTGACCTGAGGGGCACTGAGCTGTGAGCTGGAGGTGTCGAGTGGGCCTCAGCACTGAAGTCAGGGGAAACCAACCGTATGGATGCCGTTCTGAAAGACAGCCTGTATTACAGGAGCACCGGGTAGAAAGTATTCAAGGAGACAGAGATCTGTCTGGAACTACGGGAAGGGCTGACTCAAGATTTCTGGCCAGAATCCTAGGATTTTTCTTTTTTAATTTAAGGTGTGCAGCACAATGTTTTGATAAACTTATAGATAGTGAAATGGTTATTATAGTTAAGTGACTTAACATATCCATCATCTCACCTAGTTACCCTTTTCTGTGTGTGAAAAAAGCACCAAAATCTACTCTTAGCAAACTTCCAGCATACAATATAATATTATCCTATACACTGACAGTGAACACCATCCTATTCATATATTGGGCAGGGTAGGTTTGTTTGTTTTGGATGTAGAACTCATCACCAGGAAAGCAGGCAAGAATTCCCCGAAAATCAAGAAGTCTGAGATATGAGCAGCAGTAAATCTGTTTTCTCTGAAGTGCCAGTGTAGACTCCATTCTGCTGTCTCTACCTTGGCCTCCATACCGAGTGGGCTGGAGGCTGCGGCACCAGTGAGGTGCCCTGACATCCAGCTGGCTGTGACAAATCAGAACAAACACCCGATCAGGCAGGAGACTACTACCTGGGGGCCTCGCCCTGCCCTCCCTGCCAAGCAGGGAGCTCCAGGCCTTTGGGGCCAAAGGAAGCCCCTCTGCTGAGGCTCAGGAAGGTTTTCGGGGTTGGGGAGCAGACTGGAAGAACTTAGTCCTGCCCTGACCAACACCCAGCTTTCTCAGCGCCTTCGTTAGGACATTTAGGAAGGTCGGGGCTTCCTTCCACACTGAGAATTCTGCAGTAATGCAGATGTCCTATACTGTGCTGGCAAGTGCTGTTGAACACTTAGAATGTGGCACGTGTGACTGGGGAACTGAATTGTGAATTCTATTTAAGCTAAATTAATGTTAATTGAAATAGTCACATTGACGAGTAGCTACCATATTGGACAGTGTAACCTTAGAAGATTCAAGGCAGAACCTGGGTGAGGCCGCCCCTATGCCTCCCAAGACTGGGCGACCTGTCACTGTGTCTCTTTCCATTGCTGAAAGTGACAGAGCCTACGGAGCTCTCAGAGAGAAATTATCCTGAAAATCAGACCGAATGGCTGAACGCTTACAGATGTCCCTGCGACCGATCACGTTTCCTTTCGTGGCCATAAGAATTGTATTAAATATTAGGCATAGGAGGAATCTTACCAGGTTTTCCCTAAAGCCCTTTTCTCTCTTGCTGCATGAAGTTTCCTCTCCTGCAGCTGCCTGAGGAAATGGTTTCGCAAGACTTTATTATTTTTGGATTTTTTGGCATACTCACTGAAGCCAGGCCTGGGTACTCAGTTTCCATTTGATTTCTGGCTGCTCAGGGCTCACTCCTCCTGCCCATGCTGGTGGGATTTCTTGTAGGCCAGACAGTGGAATGGTTTAGAGCAGCCCTACCTCTCCCTTCTTTGGGGTGACTGGAGAGGAAATTGAGGGGCCAGCTACCACTGCTTACAGGAAATGGACAGATTAGGGCAACTGGATCAACATTGCATTGAAAATACCTGGCTTCTGTGGGTGTGAGGCAGGACTACCTGAATAGATACTTATGTTCTTGCTCCAGAGCTGTCAGACTCAAGCAGTGGCTGGGCTTTAGGTGACTTGGTGACGTTCCCTGGCTCTAGGGTAGCTATGGAGTAATCGGAATCACCGTCTGATTTCAGCAATTGCACTTCTCAGAGTTGGGCAATGAGGCTAAGGAGAAAAGGGATGGCTGGAACAAGTTTGAGGCGGGAAGAGGAGAAAGGTCTTCAGCCCCTTGGGCACACAGAGACAGCACTGTCGGCCCCCACCCAGAGAAAGTAAAGCATGACTTGGAGATCCAGAGTCTGCCAGACCCCAGGGCAGTCTCTCAGGAGATGAGGGAGGAGTGGGGCGGAACAGCGCAGCTGCTGTGTTTATGACACATCTTCCTCCATGGACTGCTTAGGACGCTTCAACCTTAATATTTGAGGCGCATTCTCTAGAAATAGTCTTTGTCCACTGGCTGAGATGGGTGGGAACAGAGGAGTAGGAGGTGTTGGCTTTTTTTAGGATAGAAGGTTATTGGTTTATTTAAGTGCATTTGCTTTGGTTTTAGCGTTGTGAGGATAATTAATTTACGTATGACCCTCCTTAGACCTGTAAATATGTATTGGTACCAACTGTACAGCAGGCCCTGTGCTGTCCGCCAGCAAGATAACAGTGAATGAAAACATCTCTGCTCTAAAGTAGATATTCTCCCCAGCCCTTCCCAGCATGGTCTGGAAGGGAACAGCAGGATATTCAGACAGTGCCTTAGCAAGGAAGGACACAGTGGTGCGTTCGTGTCAAACACTGGTGTGCAGAAGGTAGGGAGTCCAGGAGGGCTTCATGGAAGAGGGAGACTTGACTGCGCCTTGAGATGTCTGGAAGGAGTACAGAGGGCTCTTCAGGAGTCAGAACAAACAGATAAGTGATCGGAAGCCGTGGAGAAAGTTTAATTGTTAGAATTTCCATTTATTTTGGTGTGTATGTGCTATGTTTAAACCTTAGGAATTTGCATACCACTTGGTATCATTTTATTAGATCCTAGTTTTGTAGGTCTAGAAGTCAAGACCAATGTTAGGAAAACTGCCCTTGATATGTAGAGACACCCACCTGGCCATCTCCTGTCTTCCCCAGCAGAAGGATGGAGAAACAGACAAGCTCCTGATAGCAGTGACATGATGCATATGTGATGGGCAACCAACTGTGACTCTGAAGCCACTTTAAACACTGTTTCTCTGATTTAAAAACCTGTTTGGAGCTTTGGAAGTTGATTTTTAGGTTTATAAAAAAACTGGACTATTTTGAGTTTGGAAACATAATTTACTATTTCCAAGAAAAGAGTTTTAAAAACCGATTACTTTCCCTAACTCCTCATCCCCTTGCGACAATTTATAAAAGAGAAATCAGGATTTCAAATCCTGCACGTGGAGTGAGTAGCTTTTTTGAGTTCAGTTCACGAGGTTGCACTTTGACATGCTTTTTAAGATTTGAATATTTTTATAAATCATGATTATGCTACTGTTTAATGAGAACAAAAGTGGAAATCGCATCTGTTTGTCTGCGGCGGAGCATCTCCCGGCCTGTGTGTGCTGTCTGGGAAAGTGGTGGCCCAGTCTGGAGAGCTGACGAGCAGCTTGATTAGCTGAAATTACTTCCTGCAGTAGTTTGAGGGTGTCAGTCCTGGGATGAACTGGGTCATCTCAGGGATCTGGGACACGGGAGCCACTCTGAGACTCAGGGTGGCTGATGGCCCGGACTCCAATCAGAAATCCCCAACTCTTCCCCGCGTGAACACGTCGGGCAGATTCCCTTCCAGCCCAGGTTGGGATCTCAGGGTCTGTTCCTTGCTAGACCGGGTCCAATTGGTATCAGCCCCCTATTCCTGCTTTGGAATAGGGGGCTGATACAAATTGGATTGAACCTAATTGAGATGCCCTGTAGTGTCAGCTGGTCCCGGGGAAAGAGGCTATACAGGTGCAGGCACGTTCCCTGAGGGTGGGAGATAGCCGCGGCCGAGAGACAGCAGTGGAAATAGACCTATAGCATGGGCATCGAGGACAGGACTTTGGAGTCAAAATGCTTAATTCCATTATCACTCAGCCCGATCATCGATGTTCAGGTTGAAGAGCCTGTGTCAGCAAAAGAGTTGAAGTAATTTGGAGTTCTTTGTTCACTCAGCTTTAGAACGCTGCTGTTTTTTCGTTTTCCTTCAAACTAGTAAAACTAAAAACGTTTCTGATTTTTAACTGTTACTGTTTTTATCTGGAAAACTCATTAATCTAGATTTTGTTACCACTGACAGCCTATAGGTCCCCTCTAAATATTGTTTTTAATGTAACTTCTCTACAACGAAATGCCTGGATCTTTGGCATGCGGTTCAATCAGTTTTGCACTGACAAATGCAGACATCTGTGTAACCCACATTCCTATCAAGTAAAAGAGCATTCCCATCAGCCCAGAAAGCCCCCTCGTGCCCCTTCCCAGGCATCCCCCTGCCTCCAGAAGCAGCCACTGATGGTTTGTTTTTAACATGCATCTTAATTTAATTTTAATTTTAAAACATCACCTGCATTTTCAAACCAAAGAAAAAAGACTCCTTCCTCCAAGAAAGGTCTCCTGCTGGCTCCTGGGCCCATCGGGTGCTGTTGCTGTGTAGCCAGGCCGGGTGCACATTCTTCACAGGTTGTAGTGCTCCTGGCTCAGACCGGGAGGTTTTCTGAAGTCTAGTCAGCTACACAACTCTACACCTGGAATGTCAGACATTCGCAATGCCTCCAGAACAATGGATGGCAAAAAAATTCATTCTGTGCTTTTTCCGGGATCGCTTGCATGCAATTGTGCCCGCCGAGCAGGAGGACTCCAGATTAGAGGGAGAGAGAGCGAGAGAGAGGCCTACTCATCGGTCTGCATAATCAGCATCGAACATATTTCTGCCCCAACAAAGAGAACAGTGTGTTCCTGAGACGCTGCCGTGCAGCTCGGAGGCTCACTAGTGGGCGGTTCTCCCGGGAGGGAGTCGGGTGTTTCAGCAGCTCTCCCCACACCTACCACCCACCTTTTGGGGGGCCCCAGATTTTCTGGCCCCTAAGGGGGAGGACACTTGCACAGGGCCTGGCAGAGGGCAGAGACGGCTCTGGCCCCTGTGCCCCTTCATCCTCTGACCCGCATGAAATAAAACTCCTGCAAATCTACCTATATGACCAATTCATCCCCCTCGTGTTTGGCCCTTCCAGCACCTGTCACTAGGCGCAGGCGGTCAGCAGGGATTCAAACCACCACTGGGCCACTTTGCTGATCTCTTTAGATGCAGTGTGTGTCTTATTCCCATGATGCTGGTGGCCACTCCACATTCTTATGGGGGACCTGTGGGGTTCCCAACCGCACCCTGCATCTGTCTCTCCAAGCACCACGGACACTTCCAGATAGAAGAAGCCAGGCTGCAGTGTGGTCCAAGCCCCTTCTAGGTCTCTCCCTTTTCAGCCCTCTCTAGCTGGCTCCACTGGCTTGGTTACTAAAATTCTAGCAGGACTCAGGTCTGTTGGGGATGGCCAAGCTTGAAATATTTCTTTTTTCTTTTTCTTTTTTTTGGCCTGTCTTACCTACAGTTGTATTTTCCTCTTTAATCATAAGGATTTACATCAGGAAAAATAACCTGAGAATAGATGTGTTTTGTTTGAATGTCGTAGTTGTGCCCTTTGTAAAATTACCCCAGGGCATGATAAGAAAAGGAGTAAGCAATTAAAATGCACAGGGCTACGGCAAGGGCAGGCAGATCTGAGTGGAGGCTGCTGTCCTGTGAAGTAGACCTGGCAGGGGATGGCTGCTCCGGGCTGGCCTGGGCCTCGCTCTGCCTCTGTTGTTGCTCTGACCTTTGACAAATCATTCCCTTGCCTGTGTCTCGGTTGCCCCATCTGAGCGAGAGGCTGGACTAAAAGGTCACTAAGGTCACTTGTAGCCTGACCTTCCATGGCTCTATAATTCTCTTTGTTATCTTTGGCCACTTACATGTTTGCCATGATCATTGCCAATCAAACTAGGAATGTTTAGCAGATTTTAGACACTCAGACTGGAAAATACAGACGAGGCCATAGAAGTTAGTGTTGTCCTAGGGATGGCTCCTGGTTCACGCAGGCTCCTCATAGGGTCCCTGCCGCTACACACCACGAGCCCACCGAGACTGCTGCAGCCTCGCTCATCCAGAACAGAGGCACCATGGCCAGGAGGCCCTTCCTTTGTTGGGTAGGAGCTGCCCCCGTCCATGTTCCAGCTCCTCCCAGGCCCCCATGGATAAAATAGGGCCACAGGTGACAAGTGAGTTCTGTGACCCTGACCGGCAGCAGCTGCCAGCGAAGGAGGAAGGAAACACAGACAGGAGGTCTCAGAGCACAGCACGCCAGACCTCTAGTCCACACAGTCCTGCACACATTGCCGTCTTTGTTTAAAGAGAGGCGGAGGCAGACCCCAGGCATTCAAATGATAGAATGCTTCTGCTGTGCCTGCATCCTTCCCTCCTCCACTAGGAGCCTCTGGTTCCAGCCCAGATGAACCCACTGGGCTGGGAACGCCACACAAAAGCACTCTCCAAGCCAGCCAGAGGTCCCTGAGGGCCAAGACAGGGCTGACCAGAGGCAGTGTCTGGACATCCTACTGGGAGCTCGGGAGGAGGCAGTGACAGCTCAGGCCAGTAATGGGTATTCTTGAGAGCAATCCCAGGTCATCAAGGGAAGAGAAGGTTATGCTTCGTATACTGTGTTCAGGGGCCAGATAAGTTTTAATACGTTCCAGAAGTGTGCTCAAGCAAAAAAAATTATTAGAATTTTTAAAAATTAATATTTGTGCTTAAAGAGACAAATGTCAGAGATCTAGAACGTTAATTTATTTGGAAAAAGTTCAAGCAGAGGGTGAGAGCTCTGATCGCCCACCAGCCTTAGCATTCCGGAGTTTTCAGGGTCGGAGTGGGGGCCACTTCTAGGCACTAAGAAGAGCTACAGGCAGGGATGTCTACAGGGTGCCCCACTGCCCATGGGGTCAGAGGCCTGGAGCTTTAGGCAAGGCCTCACCTCTGGGCAGCAAAGGCGGCTGTCTGGAGCCCCGGGGCCTCCCTAGGGTTTCCATGGTTAAGTCCCAGTGTTTCCAGTTAGGGAGGCTGGAGGGAGGGGGCACAGGGGGCAGGGAAAGAGGCCCAGCCTTCCCTGAAAGGGAGTCATGGCTCCTGTTTGCAGCTGGAACTGGAAGGGGGTAGGCACTAACTGGGCCAGAAAAAGAAGCTGGAGCAAGGTTCTAGTGCCGGGGCTGGGCTTGGATTGGACTCAGTAATTCTGGGCCTCTGGGGCTGGCTGTCCTCGAGCCAGCATGTGCCGGGCACAAGCCAGGAGCCGTGGCAGCTCCCCTCAGTCTGCTCAGGGGCCTTGTGTGCCCAGCCTGTGGGCCGCCATTCTGGCCGTTGAATGTGCCCAGGCCTCTCCTCCTCAAACCACCAAGCTCAGCTGATGGCCCTGGTGACCCAGCTCCTCCCAGGCAGCCAACCGAAGCCTCCACGGGGCAGGCACTGAGCAGCTTTGATCTGCCCACCTGCTGCCATGAGGGGGACAGTCATTTCAGAGCATCCTTTTGCCTCTCACCTTCCCGCTGGGAACAAAACCCTTAAATCCTCTCCTCCCCTCTACCAGAATGCTCTGTCTTCTCTCATGTTTGGCTTTTTATACACTATATTTGACAGTGTCTCTCCCTTCGAGGTTAAGTGTCGTTCACCATGGTCCCTCACTTTCTGCTGCTAGGGGCCTTTGCAGGTGGAGAAACTGAGGCCCAGGCACTGAGAGGAGATCTGAGAGCCCTGTGATGCAGGGTGTCAGAGGAGACAGGCCTTGTCCTGGCAAGCTGTCCCCTGGACCCTAGCAGCTGCCTCCCCGACCTCCGTGGAGGTGTTCTCTCGAGGCATGTGCTCAGAGGCTCTCCCCGGCTGGGGCCCTGATGGACACTTTGCTCAGAGGCCTCTCCAGCTCTCTGCACCGCTCCTTCCCTTCCTGCAGGGGCATCATGGCTGCAGGTGTGCCGCTTCTCCCCTCTGTTCCTGCCCATCTTTTTGTCCACATGTGGCTTCATCCCTCTGCCTCTTAAGGTGGACTCTGGTTAGGTTGTCTGGGTGGCCACAGGCATGGCTGCCCCATCCCTGCATCCCAACAGCCTCTCAAAGCCCCCACCCAGGTCCCTTGCCAGGGCTTCCTTGTCCAGGAGGGAAGTCCTCCCAAGTACCCCTGGAGAGCCACCTACAGAAAGTTCCAGAGAACAGATGGAAGCTCCTACTAGACTGACTTTGGTGACTGGAAGGAACATGCTCAAAAGGCACCCCCATACCAGTGTCACGTGGAAGAGAGGCCAGAGAATGGTGGGGATTTGAACTTGCATGTGCTCTGGGTTTACATCAGAAGTGTCCTCCCAGCCCTTCCCCTACAGGGTGGGTTCAGAGGACACCTGACCCAGTTCAGGAGCAACCAAAGGGCGTTGGGGGTCTCTGAAGAGGATGTTCCGTCTATCACTGCCAATGCCAGGCAGCTCCCAGCCAGGCTAATTAGGTCAGCCTCCCCCGATCATGCAGCCCAGAGCCCGACCACGAGGACCATGCTGGGGCCTGGGGAACGGCTTCATTACCAGCCACTCTGCAGCAACAGGAGCACTCTGGGCTTGAGAACCCTTGGTATCCTTTCATCTTCTTTTAAGAAAATGCTGAGAAAACAGGCAAACTTCCCTGGGAATGATGGGCGGGCCCAGACATATTCCAGATGGGCATGATTTTGGTTCATGTTGCAACAGGCTGGACAGCTTGCCGTTGTTCACAGGTCATCCGCTAGACAACAGAGCAGCTTATCTTCGCGAAGTTGAAGGCACAGGAAGGCTTATGGCCTGACCCTTCACCTACAGATTTGATAGAGACACATTGCCACGATGCACCTCTGCCATGGAACTAATACCTTCCCTAGTAACAGAGCCAGGCCCTATAGCTTGCCACTGGGGAGAGAATCTCTGCACAGGCGAGGACCTTTCAACCTGATCCTTATCCCCCAAGAGCCACTGCTCCTGTAGGGTCTTTTATTAATTGTTGTTACTCCACCGCCTTGCCAGGGACAAGGACCCTAGCTCCTCCCTTTTTGACCACTCTGGCCCAAGTGGGGTACTCAAGGCTGTTTCCTTCCTCTTTGTGGCTGCTGAAATCACACTAGGACATTTAAAGGGGCTGCAGCCACAGCCACGGGGAGCAGCAGGGAACTCATTACATCAGAGCATTACATCATGGGACCATGTGGCTCAGCAGCCATCGCCTCTCTTCCAGGAACCACCGGCTCTTCCTTTCCTGGTTCCAGCCATGTAGGGGACACCATCAAAGCTCCCAGGAGTGCAAACCTGAACAGCCTGACTCCTCAAAAGAACCATGAGCCTGCCTTCTGCATCCAGCTCTTCTGAATGCCAAAACCCCTGACACCTACAGGGTGGGGTAGAAGTCTCTCTTCCAGAGCTGCATAGCCTTCCCAGAGTGAGATTTGGGAAAGGGAGAAGAATGCTGAACTTATGCCAGAGAACCTTCCACACTCAGAGCCTTTAGAGTCTTTTTATAGAATGCAGAAAAGCTGTGACCAAAGCTAGACTGCAGCCGACCCTGGGGTTCTAATCAAAGTTTGAAGGCAGCCGCATTTCCTCAGGCTCAACATCGCTGCCTGGGTGGACCTGCACGGGTGTGCCCAGCTGTTGGTGGCGCTCACTCCCGTGCATGCCATCATAGCCTTCCTGGTGCAGGGACCCACACACCTGTAAGCACCATCAACATCCAGATCCTGTAACATAAGAGGCAGGAAAATAAATAGCAGGGACTTGCAGAATGGCTAAGGTAAGAAAGAAAATGAACAAAGGAGCAGGGCCCATTTCAGGGGCCTGTTTGTGTGTGCTAGCCCACCAGATAATAAGATTACCCATTTCTTATCTCCGCCTCAAATGGCCTCAGTGCCAGCCCCGTCCCGGAGCAGCGTCACAGTGCACGGGTGTCCTTCCGTCCTTCCCTCTCCTGCTGCCTGTCCTTAATGACAGTCACAAGAGCAACAACAACAGCTGGCTTCGGGGATGTCACAGCACCTGGGACTCACCTACCCTGACTTTGTAGTGCCTCTCGGCAGAGGCTACATTCTTGAAATCTAAATGTTTAACGTCTGCTCTTGAGTGTGACTTCACCCCTCCCTTGACTCAAGCCTAGATAGGGACCCAGGATGTGCATCTCTGGGAGCAGTTTGGAGGGACCTGGCCTCACTTCGGGCCTGACCTTTGGAAATTCACCCAAAGCAGCCTGTTTGTTCCTGGCTCTGCCTCTGTTGTTGCTCTGACCTTTGACAAGTCATTCCCTTGCCTATGTCTCGGTTGCCCCATCTGAGTGAGAGGTTGGGCTAAAAGGTCGCTAAGATCACTTCTAGCCTGATCTTCCATGGCTCTATAGTTCTCTTTGTTATCTTTGGCCACTTACATGTTTGCCATAATGATTGCCAATCAAACTGGGAATGTTTAGCAGATTTTAGACACTCAGACTGGAAAATACAGACAAGGCCATAGAAGTTAGTGTTGTCCTAGGGACGGCTCCTGGTTCACGCATGCTCCTCATACGGTCCCTATTCTCAGCCTCCCAGCAGGGGCCTGGGTCTGAGGCCCCTAAGACCCCACGCTTAGGACAGGAAGGAAGTGGCCAGTGGCAGGCACCCAAGAAACTGTGTGGCTCAACGCTGTTCCAGTCCTGTTGTGTAACAAACCACCCCAAACCTGGAGGTGTAAGCAACCGTCTTACTACTCTCACAGATTCTGTAGGTCAGGACTTCAGACAGAACACAGTGGGGAGAGCTTGTCTTCAGTGTCTAGGACCTCAGCTGGGAACACTCACAGGTTGGGTGGTCCACCTGCAGGGGCTGGAGATCCTCCAAAGCATCTTCACTCAGATGGCTGGCAGTAATGCTGCCCGATGGGACCTCTACCGGGCTTTCTGCTCATACAGAAGCTCAGGGCCATGAGGAGGGGTCCCAGCTAACAGGTAGGAGCTGTGCTGCCTTTGAGGACTTAGCCTCAGAAGCACACCTGTGCTCCATTCTATTAGTTACAAGTGAATCACAAGTCCACGTAGATTCAAGAGGAGAGAATTAGGCTCCACCTCTTGATGGGGGAGTGTCGAGGTTCTAGAAGAACTTGAGATTGCAGTTTGCCACAATATCTCAGCCGCGGGATCCCCGCATCTTGCAGACAAAACCCAAAGTCTTGATAAAATGCCTGTGTGTCTGTTCTGTGCAGATTCCTGAGGTGGGACCCCACACTGGGTTCCCACAACCTGTGGACTCAATACAGGCAATTCAGCAAACCAGCTCCCAACATCTATCCCTGATTGCAGGGACATTTAACATAAAGCACAGCCTAGCACAGCAAAAGGCAGCTTCCCTGTCATGGAGAAAGCAGAGAATCTAGAGCTAGACCGGGTGGTTTCAATCCTGGCTCTGTCACTTACTGTGTGACCTTGGGTAGGTGACTTAAACTCTCTGTGCCTCCGTTCCCTCATCTGTAAAAGATTTGGATGATAAAAATAGTACCTATGTACCTCCGTCATGAGAATCAAATGGGTTACTGCTTGGAAGTGCCAAGGATGGTATAGAAATAAAATAAAACGTCCATCAGCTCCTTCAGGCCCGGAATGTGTGATGGTGGGTGCTCCAGATATTCTACACAAGAGAAGGGCTCAGGGCAGGAGCAGATGCTTCAGGCACCCGGGAAGACTGCGGCTGGTGGAGACCTGGGGATACCGGGTTATTTCTGCCTCCACACTGCAAGGACTCTCATCTCTTATGAGAAAGGCAAATGACACCCAGCTGAGGCTGGGAAGTGCTGTAATGTGGGTGGGGTGATGGGGCTGGCTGCCATGTCCAGGATCTTCATTGGACTGCTGTGTGGAGAGTCTACCCTTCCCTTGCCTTACTCTGTGTGTGTGTTTAAGTTCATAACTTATTCTTGCCTGTGGATCTGGGAGAGTGAGGGACAGGGGCGGATGGTATATTTAATTAAATATCGCCACTCCCTCCTCTTTAAGGTCATTACAGTCAATAAGGGGGAGAAGAAATATCTCTTTAGGAGGCCTTTCAAATGAAAAAAAAATGAATTACTGAATGCAAAAACAGTCTTATATCTGTGGCATCCTTCCTTCAGTTGTGATTTAATATGTGCACGGTGCAATACAGAAATACAAAGCAGCTTGGGAAAAAGTCTCAGCCCTAAGAATCTTATAGTATTAAAACTCGAGTAATCCTACACAAGAGAAAAATACAGCAAAGCCTGAGCTTGGCCCCTGCAAACCAGTGCACTCCACCCGCTGTGACCCGGGGGGTGGTGGGAGGCCTCTGGAGAGCGGCTGGGTGCTGCTTTTGACAGCTGAATTTTATTAACTGTTTTTTCATTCCTCCTGACGGACCTGGCAATGAACTCTTATCAGTGTATTGTGGCGAGTACAAGTCAATTAATTTCTTTTAAATAACTTCAACTGAAATTCTATTTGATTTATATTCCAAAAAAGATTTCCATTCCATCATTCCTTCCTGAGATTATGGTCCCGGCAGAGTTAATCACACTGGCTACACAGTCACCCATACCCCAGGGAGAAAACAGGATCAAGGAGAGGAGGAAATGAGACGGAGGTGGAGCTGAGAGCATCCTAAAGACCCTTTATTCAGTGTGAGGCCATGTGCTCAGTGACAGGGGAGTTTGCTGAAATCTTGCCCTCAGAAGAGCTTATTTCTAGTGGTTATGGCAGGGGATGGATTGGGGAGTGACAGGAAATGTCTGGAAGATGGGGGAGACTTAACCAAGAAGCATGACTGGGGGCACCAGGGCCGCTGAGGTTTGCTGCTGAGCCACCTCCTCATTTAGTATCCAGTTTCTAGGGCTGGCATCCCAGGACACCCTCCCTTAGCTCAGCCCCAGTTGTGAGCACCTGACCCTTCTATGGCCTGCTGTGTGGGGCCACCCCAGCCATGGTGGTGGTGATGGTGAGCTGTCCCTGTGAGCAAGCCTCAACAGGCTTTGCTGTGGGTCTGTCCATCCCTTAAACACAGGCTGGGACAAGCAGAGCTGCCCCCTTCCTGAGGGTCTGCCCACAGGGTCCCCCGATTGTCACCAGCCAAGTCTTACAAACAATAAGGCCTGGCTTATCTGGGAGGGAGGGAGCAGGAGCTGGGTGGCACCTGGCCCAGAGAGCAGAGCTTAGTGAGTGGCTGGTGACAATGACAAGAGGTTAGAGCTCCAGAGGGAGGGCGGCTCCTGCCCTAAGGGAGACAAGTGGTGGCTGGATCCCAAGGCTGGGCAGGTGTAGGGCTGAGAGAGATGCCTTCTCAAGCCATCTCCTGCCCTAGTGACAGGCGGCCGAGTCAGGACTGGCAGGCTTCTGGGGGACAGCACGTCACTGCCCTGGGGTGGGAATACTCTGGTGAAGAATTCCAGGCAGTCAAACAGTTTGGCCAATATGAGTTTGGACAAAAAAATATATATTTGCAAAATATCTGCTGTGGATGCTGTATTAGTTTGCTAGGGCCACCATAGCAAGGTAGCACAGACAGGGTGTGGCTTACAGAACAGAAATGTATTTTCTCACAATCCTGGAGCTTAGAAGTCCAAGATGAAGCTGTTGGCAGGGTTGCTTCCTTCTGAGGGCCCTCAGACCTCTGGCATCAGAAGTTTCTAGGGCATTTGATAAAAATGTGAACTTCTGAGACACTGAGTCAAAATCTTTAGGAGTGTGGCCCAGGATTTGACATTTAAATAAACTAAATAAGCTCACCAGGTGACTCCCAGTGGTGCCCCCTGAAGTGCCATCGCATGGGTAAATAAAGGGTACAGCACAGCCTCACCTTCAAGGAGCTCCCTAGTCAAGGAATCAAGACCTGCACAAGACAATCAGAGAAAGTGTCATGCAGTATAATAATCCAATCACTGCCCAGTTGGAGGGCGCAGACCAAAAAGTGCCTCAGGAGCTTGGAGAAGGAAGATGGGTCCCCATGGAGCGGGGAGTGTTAGGGAAGCAGTCCCTGGAAGGTGGTGTTTCTCACGTCTTCCTCTGCACAGAGATGATTCGAGGCTGAGGGTTAGCTGTGTGTGAGGACAGGGAGGCTGGGAGATATGAGGATCTGGATAAAAACTTATCTCAGCGTTGAGAGTATCTTTGAGCAGTGTATCCCTTTTGTCTTTATCAAAACACAAATTTTGTTTTTTCTGAAATTCCTGTTTGCTGTCTGGGGATGTGATATCGGTGCCTGACACATCGTCACTTAACAAAGGTTTGTTTGCTGGCTTAAGAGTTTCAGATGTTCTGTGTCGGTTCGTGGCTGCAGTGACTTTATCTCTCAGGAGGGAGGTGTGTGGCTGGTGGGGGTGGTGGGGGAACCCAGCTGGTGAACAACACGTGCTGGTGGCGAGTTCTGACTCCAGCAGGTGAGAGTTGATGTTGTTTTAAACAGTATTCACCCCACCTGTCTTCCGATACACATATTGATCCCGGCCAACAAAGAGTTGACAGGAGACCACACAGAGATAAATATGTCAGGGCTCTCGGTAGAAAACAACATGCATGGCGGTGACGGAACCCGCAGTGGATGCAGCAGACTTTGGAACTGCACTTCCACTTACTGGCTGGGTGACCTCAGCAAATGACCTAACTTCTCTGAGCCTCAGTTTCCTCGTCTTTAAGATCAGGATAATAGGCCGGACGCGGTGGCTCACACCTGTAATCCCAGCACTTTGGAAGGCCAAGGTGGGTGGATCACCTGAGGTCGGGAGTTCAAGACCAGCCTGACGCACATGGAGAAACTCTGTCTCTACTAAAAATACAAAATTAGCTGGGCATGGTGGCATATCCCTGTAATCCCAGCTACTTGGGAGGCTGAGGCAGGAGAGTTGCTTGAACCTGGGAGGTGGAGGTTGCTGTGAGCAGAGATCGCGCCATTGCACTCCAGCCTGGGCAACAAGACCACAATTCTGTCTCAAAAAAAAAAAAAGATTGGGATGATAAAAATACCTATCACATTGTGATATGGCAAGGATTAAGCTAATTATAAAAGAAGTTTAGAATGATATCTGGAATATAAGTATGCAATAAATGTTAGCGATCAATATGGCTTTTTCCACCCAAATGAGTGATGTTCTGCGAATTTACTTCAAACAAGATATCACGGCTGTTCTCTAAGGACTGGGTAGTCACTAACAAATCCATTTTCCTTATCGTGATCTATATAGCTCAGTGATTTTTCTGCTCTCTGCTCCAAGCTAAGAACAGAGAGCTTCGCCTCCCAGACTGAAATGAAGCATCCGCTGGTACAGGACTGTGTATGCGCCTCTGTCTGGAGGGGGCTGTCTGTTGGTTAAAGGGTGTCTTTTCCAGGCCCTGGAGATTGCAGGCACTAACAGTCCACTCAGGTGACAACGTGTCGTACTTCTCTGTGCATGCTGTGGGGACTCAGCCTCACACCAGGATGTGTCCCTTCAAACCCAGTCCCTGGGGGCACACAGGCCGTGGGCTGTGGGATGTGGCTCAGGAGGCTTGGGGAGTCCACTGTCAGCCATCCTTGGCATGCTTCACGCGTGGTGACCCCCAAGAGGGGAGAAGGCCACACCTCCTTAGAGCGTGGTGCTTCTCAAAGGGTCTCACTGTAGTTACCGTCTTGGAGTGGGTTCATCCTTTTGCCTGCACTTTTAAGTCATGGGGAAATGTTAAATTTGGGGAGGGTGGAAAAAGGGTCAGAGAGACAGAACTTGCTGACTCCTATTTTGGGACTAGTTCTGCAATCCAATTTCTTTTTTCTTAAACAATCTTATAGAAATCTGCCAGAGACAATGAATAAAGGCAGAACTCCCTGGTCGAAGCAGAGATGCCTCTTTCTGGAGTCCCTGAATTACCCATATGGGATCTGAGGCTTCCTCTGAGCCAGTTTGAAAATGCCTGCCCTCGGAAATCCTCCTTGCCTTCTGAGCCACGCCCTCTGTCAGGGTGGGCAGGGTCCAGGAGAGAAGGGACCGCCGCTTCTGCTAGAACCAGGCAGGTTTCGTTTTGGATGATCATTACCAAACTCTTGGCTCAAATGCATTGTTTAAACTTGACTTTTCTACATTCTCCCAGGACCTGAGTACTAACTAAGGCCTGAGCAGGTAAGCTGAACCGCTTGACGTGATAATCCAAACTGACAGGATTGTCAGCTGGTTACGAGTCTCCTCCTCCTTCCCACGTCACTCAGAGGACAGGAGGGCAGAGGGAGAGATCGGAAGTGCTGGGCATTAGGATCGAGGATGCGCTGGGTGCAGGACCCACCGAGGAGGTGTGGACTCTGGCAAGAGGGCCTAAAAACCCCAAAAGGCTCCATCTATAGACTTTCCACGTCAGCCTACAGCCACCCCAAATTTTCTATGATTATTATTTTAACAACACATAGGCCTTATTTTTAAAATCTGCTGCACTTGAGCAATTTCATCTGACGTCAGCTGGCTGCCGGCAACTCTGCTTGAAAACAAGAATAACCAAATCTTCTAAGGAGTAATGCTGAACCTGCTTCAAACGCAATAAATCACAAAAACCATTGTTTACAATAAGTGGTATCTGATTGCTGTTAGAACCTGTGTTTATTGCTTTTGTGCATTATGGTCTCTTGTAATTTGGACAGCCAGAAATTGTATTCCTTTATGCAGTGCGTAGGCAGGGTTTGTAAGGGGGGAGGCATCTGTAATTATGCTGCCAGGGAGTGAGGTTGAGGAGCCTCCAAGGAGCAAGAAAATGCAGTTGCCTGTTTTTCATCTGAGGAGCTGGGCATCAGGCTTCCCACTTTCCAGTTCTTGGAACCCTCAGGGCTCCATTGGAGAGAGACCTGGGCAGGGGAGGATAAGGAGTGGACCTTAGAGCTATAGTGCCCCAGATCAGAGAGCCCTTAAGTGGCCTCAGGGTGCAGAGTGCCAGGTGGGTGGGCAGACGCCGGCCCCACAGGAGGCTGGGCTTATGGTTTTCCTGGAAATTGCCTTGGTCTCTCCTGCACGTTTCTTCCTCATTCTCCACCATCCTGACGAGTGCCCTGACTGGACTTTGTAGGTGAAGGCTAGCAGCAGGGATCTAGGAACAGCTGATGACAGAATTCTTTGGCACCTCTGTCTGCAAATTTGAGAAGCAGCCACTTGACCATGTGGCCTGGATCTTGCCATTGTCAGTCAGTAAATGGATGATGTTGCTTGATTTCTTTGAGGCACCGTTAGGAAGAAGGTCAGTGTGTCTGGGTGTGGTGATCTGTCATTCTCCTAATTCAAAACCTCTGGACTCGAAGAAGAGGGTCTAGTTTCTCTTTCATGAAAATAGACCACGCTCCATCTATCCTTGCTGCTTTGGCTTCAGTTGGTTCTTCCACCCGGAATGCTCTTTTCTGTCTATTTCACCTGTGTGAAACCCACCCATCCTTCCAGTTCCTGCACTTCCATTAATGACTTCCCTGAACTTGTCCCTCCTATGTCCTTAATCTCAGTAGAATTTCACCACCATTCCCCCAGCCTCTCAAGCCTAAAAACTAGGGTTCATCTGAGACATGTCTTTTTCCCTCCACCCAACACTAGCCCAGCACACAGAGACACTTGGGAACTGTTTGTTAATGAATTAATGAACTTGATAGTTAACCACCAACTCTAACCCAAATCACTTTCTG
Organism: Homo sapiens; assembly: GCF_000001405.40. Lineage (NCBI taxonomy): Eukaryota > Metazoa > Chordata > Mammalia > Primates > Hominidae > Homo > Homo sapiens. The sequence goes on from NC_000002.12 coordinate 23,515,135, forward strand.
GATATTTCTCCAAATTGTCCCTCTTCGCATTTCTACCACCACAGCCCAAGGGAGGGTCCTTATTCAACAGGACCACCTCTGAACAGCCTGTAAAGCCCCCCATATCCCCCTGCACCCTAGGACCTGGTGTTCAGGGTCATGTCTTAGCCTCTGACCCCCACTCCCACAACCTCTACTCCCCAACTTGCTCATTTACTCCAAGTCCCTTCCGGTTCCTGAGCACAACATACATGCTATTTCATTACTAAGGATGTTTCTCTGCCCAGAATATCCCTACCCCTTCTTCACCTGGCTTCCCCTCTTCAGAGACTTGGCTCAGGCACCACCTCCTCCAGGAAGTCTTTTCCAGCTGTGCCTGTGGGCCTTGGGGGGCCCCCGTCTCTACTTCCACAGCTCCTGTGTTTTTCTGTGTAGTAACTCTTGTCACAATTATAACAAACTGTAAAGGTCCACCCTTAAAGGCAGGAATACTGTGTTATCTGTCTGACCATCCCCCATGCCCAGCACAATTCCTGGCCCACAGAAGGTCTCCTGTGAACGAGGATCTAAATGGAACTGGCACGAATGCTCAAATGGCACATGAAGTGCAGAGAGCACCAAATTGTATTAATACACAATTGTTTGTTGACTTAGACCAAGTTCATAGGCGGCTCCCCAAAGAAACCACAAGGACTAGATCTGAGAAGTTGCAGCCCTCCACGGCATCTGAGCAGAGTGGCTGTTCCTCTGTGGTGGCTCCATGAGTGAGTTAGTGGGCACAGAAGGAGCCTGGTCTGCCGTGTTGATTGATAGCTGTCCCCACAAAGCATGGGACTAGTCACGCATGCTTTATTAAAAAGATAAATGAATCAATTTTGTGATTCTAAAGCTATAGTCTATTGGTCAATTTGTACAAGCTCTGGCATTAATTAGATGCTGAGCTGGACAGCAGGGTCCCCTCTCCCTCCTAGAGCTTAGAAGGGTTCTCTGAGGCTCCAGGACTTGAGTTTCAGTGAGAACTATGGATCCCTTCTGCCCTGCCCAGCCTGGCTGGCTGAGCAGTAAAGGAAGTGAGGAGAGAAGCTAAGGCAGGGCTCTACTTACAGAAGACCCTTGACTCTGGGGCCATGGGCACCTGCTGGGCCCGGGACTGGGAAGGGCTGACCAGGAGCAACTATTCGAAGGCAGCACCCTGCACACAGCCTAGCATCTGCACTGCTCAAGGCCAAGGGTCATGATTTCCAGATTCATTTATTTTAACAAACTTCCCCTTAATACACACACGCGCACACACACGTGGGAATGCTACACTAGCCAAGCTCGCCCCCAGCACCGAGAAACAAACTGGACGCACTCCTTTCTCTTCCTCTTCCCCTGCACACAGCAGACCCTCCAGGGACAATGCACATAATTCAGGCTTTTGTGCCATGGCGCAGCAAGCTAGGTTATGATTATACCAGCCTCTGGGGTCTAGCCAGGTAGCCCCATGGCCGTTGATGGCTTTGTCTCTACAGGAAAATACATTTGGAGTTACAAACAGCTGACTTCTTGGCAGACTTCTTGGAATTCAAGCAGCTCATAGGCAAGGGGCTGGGAAGTGGACCCTCGAGCCGGTTGGCCAATCAGCAGGTCCTCCAGGGCCCTCATCCATGCCTGCCCTGGCACTGGGGAGGCCACAGAGGAATTAGTGAACAGATCTCAGCTTACAAAGCCTCACAGTTTGATCTGGGGTGAGGCAGGAGGCAGGAGGCAGGGATTCCCTCCAGACCCTCAGAGCAGAACCAAGTCTTGCGTGTGGTGTCCCGCCAGCCCATGTCTCTGAAGACAGGGGAGGCAGCGTGGGCTTTGTCAGGCTGGTGACGGACGTGCCTGGGAGCAAGAGCCTGGGTCCAGAACCTTCCTGTCACAGGGAAAGTGCAGAGCTCCCTGTTTGTCAGCTGCTTCGTGGTGCGGAGCCTGCAAAGTCCAGGGAGAGGTTTCGTGCAGAAAGCCCTGTCTCCCTGTGCCCGCTGTGGACGTGGAAGGCAGAGGCGCGTCCTCTCTCAGCCACTCTCCTCCAGCCCGGGGGTCTGCCGTCCGCTGAGCTCTTTTTTCTTTAAACTTAGGAACAGAAGCCATTTGACAGAAACTTTTAAAAACAACCTAACTAGGCTGGGCGCGGTGGCTCACGCCTGTAATCCCAGCACTTTGGGAGGCCGAGGCGGGTGGATCATGAGGTCAGGAAATCGAGACCATCCTGGCCAACATGGTGAAACGCCGTCTCTACTAAAAATAGAAAAATTAGGTGGGCCTGGTGGCACGCACCTGTAGTCCCGGTTACTCAGGAGGCTGAGGTAGGAGAATCGCTTGTACCGGGGAGGCAGAGGTTGCAGTGAGCCGAGATCGTGCCACTGCACTACTCCAGCCTGCCGACAGAGCGAGACTCCGTCTCAATAAATAAATAAATAGAACCTAACTAATATAACATTTGAAATTTGGTCCTTTCCAGAATCTTTTCCCATCTTTTTAACATGTGCAGAGTGGATACAAGGCTGCCTCGTGTTTCCCATTTTTCTCCTAATGGAATTCATGTCTGGGTCTCCATGTGTCGCCGGAGTCCACTCCCGCTGAATGGATGGCTGCCCAGGGTTCTCTGCTCCTAGGGCACATTTGCTCAGCAGCTCCCTGTGGTAGAAAACTGGCTGGGCCCATTCCCACCACTGGAAAGTCACTTTAGTGCAGTGTCTTCTTGCCTCTAAGATACATTGGCCTTCCATTCTTTGAGCCTTGTGGGGTTAATGAGATGGAGAGTGAAGTAGGTATTTTTGTTCTCCCTCAGACCCTCATGGACAAGTCATGTTTTACCTCTGTGCTTCAGTGTTCTCCTCTTCAAAACAGGGAGGATGAGAAGTCCCCTTTCCCAGAGGACTATGAAGATTAAATGAGATAGTGTGTAGCTCATCATAAATGCTCAAGAAAGGGGAGCATAGAAGTAATAATTAGAGTAACCCCCTGAATTATCCTTGTTCTGGGAAAGCAGACAAGTCCGGTGGGCTGGGGGCCAACTTCCTCAGCCCCTCCGTGGGGACCCAGCCCGGAGGGAACCTGAGACTTGGCCTATGGCTCCTCCTCCCACATGACCCTGACGCTGTAAATGTCGCCTAACAGTCTTAAGCAGTTTTCACTGTGACCTGTTGTTATTTTCCTTGCTTAGAAGTAAAGATGTAAGCGTTGGAGCCTACCCGTTGACTCGTGAGAGAACCCAGTGGTCCTCTGGGAGGGCAAGTGTTTGAGCCACTGGGGATTAGGGAGCAAGAGCCTGGCTGCAAAGAGAGGGGGGATCTTCCCTTCTCCAGGAGATGCTCACGGATCTCAGGCCCTCGCTTTCCTCTGTCTGCTGAGCCCCATTTGGGCCTCTGCCTCTGCTACTTCCGTGGCCTAGAAAAGACAGCCCTAGAAAAGAAACCCCAGCTGTCCCCTCCGGGAAGGCTCTGTGCACCTTCTCCATGCTGGTGTGGGCGCTGTAGCACTCCCTGGCCAGTACCCAGGACACCTGAGCTCCCCACCAGCTTCCACACGCAGCAAGCACCGCATGTGCTTGCTCCCCACTGGGCCTGGTCCACAGCTGCACACGCCAACACATGCACCTGGTCCAGGGCCCCAGCCATCCCCTGCCCTCCACAGTCACTCCTAGGTCTGAGCCACCCCACAGCTGTCCCTTTCCTTTCTCCTATCCCCATATCATGAACTGGGTGACCATCCTCCAAGAGAGTGGCTCCAGATGTCCTGAGCAGGCATCAGAAGCAGCCAAAGTGTTCAGTCTCCTCTGCTTTCTCGGAAAAATGTTTTCTTTTTATTAGTGACTTCCCCCAGGCAATCCTTAACCCAGGGAAAGAGGCTGCTCTGTGGGCCTAGTGAGGGCTGGGCTGCCAGGCGGCATGTGGAGAGCCCACTTCTCTCCTCTCTGGGAGTCCTGCACAGACCATGCCCTGGAATGCACTTTCCAGTCTCAAGGCTTTTCTCATGTTCTGTGGGGTCTGTGCCCAGAGGCTATGTCAGAAGCTGCAGCCACCAAGCGGGGACAGCCTCCCTAGGTAAACTGACACTGACCCTCCGCTAGTCAGTCTTGGACCCGTCCACTACCCCGTCATCCACCCATGACTTCTTCCAGCCAGATCCAGCTCCTATGTTGTCAGCCTTGGCAATACCCCAGGGTCCCAGGTCCCCCGTCCTCCCCTCCCCCCCAGGCTCCCTCCCACCCAGGCATTCTGACCTGCTAGCTCAGACCCAGAATCCTGCCTCCCATGGCATCCGATGACTCCCCCTGGCCAGTGTGCCAAGGCCTCTAGACAGCTGCTGCCACACCCTCCAACTCTGGCCAGCCCCGCAGCAGAATGAGGCTTGGGCCCAGGACCAGGGTGTTGCCCTATTTAGGAGCTGTCAGCAGAGGGAGTGTTGGCATAAACCACCCTGGGGTATGTGAACCCAGAAAATCTGAGACAGGTCTCGGTGAATTTAGAAAGTTTATTTTGCCAAGTTGAGGACTCGCCTGTGACACAGCCTCAGGAAGTCCTGACGACATGTTCCCAAGGTGGTCGGGGGACAGCTTGGTTTCATCCATTTTAGGGAGACATGAGACATCAATCAATATATGTAAGAAGTATATCGGTTCTGTCTGGAAAGGTGGGACAACTTGAAGCAAAGGCAGGAAGACCCAAAGTGAGGAGGGAGCTTCCAGGTCCCAGATAGGTGAGACACAAAGATTGCATTGTTTTGAGTTTCTGATTAGCCTTTCCAAAGGAGGCAATCAGATATGAATCTATCTCAGTGGGCAGAGGAACTTTTATTAATGAACTTGATTTTATTAATGAACAAATTTATTTTGAATAGAATGGGAGGCTGGTTTGCCCTAAGCAATTTCCAGCTTGAGTTTTCCTTAGAGATTTTGGAGGCCCCAAGATATTTTCCTTTCACTGGTATCATCCACCCAGGAGAGAAGCCAGGTCAGGGAGTGGCAGAGAGAGGAGGACGGGTCTGAAGACTTCCTAGTCTCATTGAAGGTGGTCAGTGACCACCCCAGGTGAGGGTGAAGCCCTCTGCTAAATAGAAAGCAGCCCAGACAAGGCCAAATCCACCTCAAAACGGGGTACAGGGCAGGGGTGTTCATCGTGTTAATTCTGTTGGGCTTGGCCTCTGCGCTTTCATGGGCTCAGATACCTAAGCCTTCCAGGGCCTCAGGTGCCTGATCTGCACCCAGGGAGGGCTGGAGGGAAAGGAGCCTGAAGGGGCTTTCAGGGCCTTCTGTGATTCGTTGACTACTTCAAACAAAAACAAAGCCTTCCCAGCCGGGGTGATGGAGGAAAATAAGAACAAAGCTGGCTGTGTTTGCTTGTGTTGGAATCCAAGGAGGGGACCTACTGGAATTTCCCTCCCTTTGCTGGAGGCCAAGGTCAGGCCACTGCCCTGACCTCTGTTTCCTGGGCCCTGAGATCATGGCACTGTCAGAGCCCACTGGGAAGGACAGGCGCAGGTGATTATTTATACAAGTCTTTTCTTTCAGTGGACTATTTACGTACTCCCAACACTTTAAGGAAAGAAACTTTGGTTTCACAGTGGATGAAAGTTTTCCCATGCTTTAAGGTGACTCTTTCATACATTTCTTCTTAGTACAACACAAATCTCATTATAGGAATTTCAGTATTTTAACAAAAGGAACCACAGTCATCGTAATGAGATCCCCGAATAAAGTTCAGTTCATTTTCATCTGTCTTTTCTCCCCAAATATTATTGCTAGAAATGTTACATTATCATAAACCCGAGTTCAGGATGCATAGTTTCCACAATTGTCTTCTTTCCTCCATATACAAATTCTGATTACTGCTTTCATTTTACAAAGACCACCCCCCCCCCCGCTCCCCCTCAGGGGTGTTTCCATCTTCTCAGATATTTTTCTTTGCCTTACCCCAAGCTACGTACATAACCGGATGGCTAGAATTAGGAGAGTCGATGGTGGATATTCCTGTATCCGTCTATCTGCCCCCTGCCTGCCATGTGGTGTGGGATACATGCAGGAGGTATCCTGGGAGGGGACTGCTTCGAGGGGCTTCCCCAAGGGCATTCCTTGTGGCCATGCAGAAGGCCATGCAGAAGGACTCCCAGGGAAGGCTGTGGCCCAAGCCCTCCTAGCCAGCTCTGCCTGCAGGAGGAAGGACAAGGGACTCCTACATGGCACCCTTGGAGGCGAGGTTCGTGCACTGGAAGTTTCCAAGCAGACTTTATTTCCACTCAGCCATGTCAGAAACCTCTAGCAGGACTGGTGCTCTAACTTCACACAGGGTTTCAGAGTCAGGGCCTTCTCCCTAGTACAGTGAAGCTGCAGGTGCAGCCTGTCCCCTAGGTCCATGTGCTGCATTGGGCCAGCTGGGCAGTCATGAGCTCCCTCAGCATCCTCAGGCCCAGTAGCCACTCCTCTCTGCCTCCTCCCTGGTGTCTATTGATGTCTCTGCAGGGAACATGCTCCAGGTGACCCAGACACTGAGCACTTTGCAGGCAGGCAGCATCCTCCCCATAGCTAAGAGTAGTAACTACCTGTACCCCATTTCTTGGGAGGAAACAGAGGCTCAGTTTCAGCACGTTGTTCAATAGACTGCAGCCAGATGGTAAACATCAGAGCCAGGACGTAAGGCTCTGTTGAATTCCAAAGCCCACACTCTTAAGCAGTCTGTGGTCTTAGTAGTATCATTAATTATGCAATGATGCATCAATACTCAGGGGTCCCGTAGAGGTAGTTGGGACGTTTATCCCTGAACTAAATGGTCAAAGCTCACTATGCTTACTAAGTTTGTGCACCTGCTTTTCACAGCCTTTCTGCATCTCCCCTTATTCTCATTAGTTAAACTTGCCATGGTCATTGTTTTTGCCTAAAGCACTAGTACCCACCTGACCTGCTGTGGACCTGCTTGTTAGAATTGTTTGCAAAGGAAGCATCCATAGGCTATGAACAAGGATGCTGGGGCTTGCCTGTGAACACCAAGCTTCAGTGTGTGTTTATTCTAAGGCTTTTTTTTTTCTTTTGAGATGGAGTCTAGCTCTGTTGCCCAGGCTGGAGTGCAGTGGCATGATCTTGGCTCATGGCAACCTCCCCACCTCCCAGGTTCAAGCAATTCTCCCACCTCAGTCTCTGAGTAGTTGGGACTATAGGCGTGTACCATCACGCCTGGCTAATTTTTGTATTTTTAGTAGAGATGGGGTTCCACCATGTTGGCCAGGCTGGTCTCGAACTCCTGACCTCAAGTGATCCACCTGCCTCAGCCTCCCAAAGTGCTGGGATTACAGGTGTGAGCCACCACACCCAGCCTCTAAGGCCCTTTTGATTGCTTTTTGAATTTTGGTTATGTTTGGGATCACAGAAGGATGCTTGTTCTTATTTCTGGGCAGATGGAAGACCTTTTACCTTTTTGAAATCTGATCAGAAAAAAAAAAAAGCTTTTTGCAGGTTGGAGAGTCATCAGGTGGGGTGGGAAGGTGAGGCGGGTCTTTTGGGTTCTCTTCCCACAAAGTAGGCTGGTAGCCTTGAGTATGAGTGGGGAAACCCATGGCTCAGTCTCTGGAGAGAGAGTTTCTTCTCCTCCAACCCAAGCCCTGAGTCTGGACCCCCGAGCTTTTATTCCTGACTCCAGTGGCAACTCTCTCTAAAGCCATCTACCACCTCCAGGCCAGGCTGTTGGACGTGCAGCTCTTCCCCTGCTGCCGCCACAGAGTTTACAGAGTAAGCCCAGCCCTGCAGAGGTGACCAGTGCTGTGCAGATGTGAGGACCTGCATGGACTCGACTTTGTCAGTGCCCTGATTGCGTTCCCTGTGGAGCTGACCACGAGAGCAGGTGTTAGAGCCGTCTCTGAAGAACTGAATGTTAGAATCTATGCGCCTGCCTGTGGGGGTGGTTACGGGCATTTAGTGGGGAGGGGGGATGGTTCTCAGAACCTTGGGGGGCAGAGGCATTCAGAACTGCCTGGCATTCTCACTTCCACTGGTTTCTTTACCAGCACCAGTGTGCATTTTGTTCAGCAAACCCGGAACTCAGGAAGCTTTGCCACCTGGGTGCCTGTCAGCGGCAGCACGGTCCACCCCAGGGTGGGCTGGGGCAGAGGGCCTGCATGCCACAGCGAGAGCAGAAAGGGAGCAGAGCCATTTTGTAGAGCGAGTTTTCCAACCCCTCTTATGATCCTTCCTCTATTCTAAAGCAAAGGACATAAATACTAAACGGTGGTTCTTGCCAGTGCTGATAAGGAAAACCAGTAAATGCAGGAGTCTCATTAAGAAAATCCTAAAATTTTAGTCTTATCACTGCTGCAACATAATACAGTAAGTATGTTAATTCTAACCTCCCTTAGCTTCCCCCCGCCAAAATCCCTTTCAGCTAAGGCTGGCAGGAATGAACTGCACTCTGGCTACAGACTGAAGCCACGTCTGATTTGGATTTTTTTCCTCGCCTTGGCTTCACGTAGTGAGTCTCCTATTTGGGTGGACATGGCTTTTACCCCCTCATACTTCCCAGCTGCCTTTGCCATTATTCAGTTCAACAAACATTGAGGAAGTACCTACTGTGTGCAGGCCACAGTCGTAGGAGCTGGGAAATGTCAGAGTCAGCTGAGTTCATCTCTTTGCAAGAGCCAATAAGCCGACGAGGGAGCAATGATTTATAGGCCAAGCCTGCCAGCCGGCCTTGTCCCCAGCAAAGACTCATTTCAACAAGCTTCTCTTCCAAGTGATTATTTGCTGTTTGTACTGCTTGGACTTGGCACGCTTCTACAATTCCTTTTACCAAAGAGGAAAGAGGGACCTTGAAGTAAGTACTTACCTCGTAAAGAGAAGATTCCATGCGTCTTTCGGGAGCTTGCCTAAACACCACCAGCGTTGCTCTGTCATGTGAATGAGTTTTTTTTACCAGCATGCCTTCCTCTTCCGAAGGCCTTCCCCATCTAGGGTTTTTTCTCCCCATGACACCTCAGTGTCGTAGGTAGCGGAGATGCAAGTGTTCCCATTTCTCGGAAAAGGAAGCCGATGCTGGAGCGGGGGATGACTTGCTCAGTGCTGTGCTAGGGAGTGGCAGAGCCACCCAGGCCCAAGTGCCCGGCTCCTCATCCACATCTCTTTCTATTACACCAAACCCAGAGCGGGCAGGCAGGGCAGAAGAGACTACAGAAGCACAGGCGCCTGCTGGGCCGGCCTTGGCTCGGAGGGGCTCAGGAAGACCCAGGAAGTAGCAGGCCAGGAAATACCTTTAGGTCCTGCCCCGGGCTCCCGGGAGGCGTCGGCAGGAGAAGCAGGGCAGCAGCTGTGAGTCACGGTGATGGATGTTCATGGCTCACGGGTGGGCGGCTCGCGCGTGCACTGGTGCCAGGGTGGCCACACGGCTGGCAGGCCAGTGGGCTGGGTGTCACATTTCAGCAACATGATCTCTGCTCTGCCCAAGTGAGGAGGAACATGCTTGCGGGCATCTGTGGCCTTCAACTCAGAGAGGGGGTGGGTGGAGGGACGAGGTGGTTGAGAGGACACCTCTGATTCGATCTGTTCCGTTCCTTTGCTGGCCTTGCCACCCTTTCCAGTGCTGTGCATGTGTCCCTCCCAAGAGTCCAGAAAGCTGGATTTAAAAGTCAAAGTTTCTGAAGGACTTCATGGTGAGCAGAACACATTTGGTATGAAAACATTACAGGAAAACAAAAGCCTCCCAGGCTTCCTGCCTCTCAGCAAAAGAATTGGAAGGCATTTTCCATGTGGGGAGGGAGGCCATTTCTATTTCATGGGGATCTTAAAAGTAATTTTGCTGCCTGTAATTTTTTTTATCCAAACTCTCTCAGACTTTGGTTCTCAGCTGGATGACTTAGTGATCTCTAAAATGTGCTGACATTCTGGCTCGTAAGAATACATACTGTTACTTTTAATGAATGAGATTTGTTTTTAAAAGATCTCCTCAAATCAGCTGAGCACTCCAGGTGCAGCTATGGCACTGATGCTGGGAGGGGAGGCCAAATGCCTGACTTCAAGGTGCTGGGAGCTAAGTATTCCTGTCTCGGCACGTAGGAGGGAGGAAAAAGCCAGAGAAGACTTGAGGACTGAGAATACAGGCTAAGGCCAGGCCCACGCCTGGAAGAGAAGAACTTTCTCTTTGTCTCCTTGCCCACTGCCTGTCCCTGAGCCTGCGGGACTGGGAGGGCAGAGGACACTTCTGGGGTTTGGCCCAGAGAATTTATTTCTTCTTTTCTTGTTTTCCGCTACACCACGTGGCTTCAGACCATGACATTTCTGTTCAATGCCGTCAGTGCCTTGGTTTGAGGAGAATGTCTGTGTACCCAGCTTCCATGGCCAAGAAGAAATGGTGGCCGGAGCTTGCTGGCATCTGCTCTTGCCCTGTCTCCCTTCCTCTCTCTCCTGCGTGACCAGCAGCCAAGGGACAGTTCCTTCTGGCCAGGCAGTGGGATGGAGCTAAGGGGGAGGAGATGCAGGAGCAAGGCCCAGACCCCCGTCCTGAGCTTGGCGGCGAGGGGCCTGGTTTTGCCCTGCCTGGGAAGAGTAAGGCATGGAACCTGCTGGGACTTTCCTCGCTCCCCAGAGGCCGAGTGAGCCCCAGCCCCTGCCCCCCCCCCCCACCCGAGGCGAGCCAGCAGAGCCAGGGCCCACCCGCTATTTTTAGAAAGCTATCAGGTGCGCAGGACGCCCAGTTGCCTTTTTCCACCTATTCGGGCTCATTCTAGGGATCCTGTGTTGCTGCCCCAGGCCCCACCTGTCCTGATGTGATTGTCTTACTGTGGCCTGGAGCTGGCACGAAGCTTCCTCCCGATGCAACCCAGCCACCCTTCTGGCCTCATCTGGCCATGGCAAGTCACGTCCCTGACATCCGTGGACCTGCAGCCATTGTGTCCTCAGAAGCGTGGATGTTGGGCCCTAATGTTTGCCCTCCTCTGCTTCCTTGAGAGGAAGGTAAAGGCTGAAAGGGAAAAGCAGGTTAGGAAAAACCTGGAATAGGGATCCCATCGTGAGGAGTGTTAAGTCATTGAGTAGAAGATTCTGGAGCCTTTGTTCTAGAGGAAGCTGCATGGAGTGTGCAGTCTGGCAGGGGATGCCCACGTGCAGTCGTGGTGTTCATTGCCAGCGCATGCAGTTCAGAGGAACGTGGGCGGTCGGAGGAAGCGTCACAGGGGAGGGGAAACCAGAGCTGTGGTCAGGGCATGCGGGAGGGGTGGCATCGAAGGCAGAGGGACCACAAATGCTGCGCTCTTGGCCTGGCAGCGGGACAGCCCATGCGTGACTAAGGAACGCCGAGGAGGCACGAGGCTGGTGCAGAGGGCTCTGCAGGGGCCGGGGGAGGAGAGCCTGGAGAGAGCCTGAGACGCCCTGAATTCCAGGTGAGGTGTCTGGACGAGATCCAGCAGATGGTGGGAAAAACCACTGAAGGTTGGAGGGGAGAGAGAGGAGCCTAGTGGGCTGGTGGCCTGCTCTGCCCTCTGCCTACCAGAGTGACCTGGCCTCCTCATGGTCATAGAGCAGCAGCAGCCGTGGGTCCAGAGCAGCACCTTTGTGGCCTGCCCTCCACACCCAGCTCACAAGTCTCTAGCGTGGGGTGAGCTGGGGTTGGCTCCGTGGCTCCCAAGAGCCCATTGTTAACGTCTCTTCCCAGCTCCTCATTAGGAGACAGCACCTTGGTAGCTCGAAACGGCCACAGTGGGAATATTTATACAACAGAAACTGATGAACGCTGCATGCACATCAGGGTCTGGGTGGGTTTTTTTTGTCCACCACCACCAGCAGAGCCGGGTGTTAAACATTTACCAGTATAGCTCTGGGTAACAGGGAGCCCCCGCAGGGTTTCGTGCTCGGGGTTAGCATGGTGGGCTGAGCAGTGACCACACGGGGCTGGTATCCTGCGTTGGTGGACATGTGTTGTGTCACTTCCCTGCTAGGAAGCTAGGATGGGGAGTGGGGATGGAGCCTCAACCAGGAGAACTGGGCGACGGTGGCCATGTTGGCCCATTCTGAAACCAGGCTCCTTAACATGGGCTCCCAGACCCTAGACACGGCTCACACGGAGGACACGTGTGTTTCCTGCCTCTGCTTCATCACCTGAGCAGGCCCTGCCCAGCTACACTGGACCTCTTTCCAGTCCTTAAATGCGACCTGCTTCTTCTCCCCTTTAGAGCCAGCACGTGCTTGCCCCTCCCTCAGAATCACGCCCCCCAGCCACCCCAGGGTGGGGGCTGGGCAGCATTAGTATACCACACTGTGTCTGCAGGGCCCTCGTGGGTGTTGCCCAGCAAAAGCCCCGCCATGCTGTCTGCAGCATCCCTTCTGCCTGCTCAGAGACTGTGGAGCCCAGAGCAGGGAAGGACTGCCCTTTCCTGGGGTGGGTGGAGAGGCTTGCCTGCTTAGAAAGCTGTGAGCAGAACTTAGAGGCTGTGAGCAGAACTTAGAGGCTGTTCATCTCCGGGCACAGAGCTAGAGCCTTTCTCAGCGAAGAGTCGGCTTGGTCTTGACAGCACGGTGAAAGCAGTAGGATTGGTTCAGTGTTCTCGAGTTCCAAAACACGCAGCCCACGAAATTGTCCAACAACCTCGCCACATGGGTTGTGCTCTCATTTCAGAGGTGAGGAAACTGAGGGCCAGGTGGTTAGCTTACACCCCAAGCCTCCATAGGAGCAACTGGTAGTCCCCAGGCCTTGATCTTGATTCCTGGAGCCCTAAACCCCGAGTCAGCTTTCTGCATTGAAGGTTTTGGACCATTCATCCCAACCAAACGTAGACATCAGGAGCAGCCCAGGCTCTGCCAGGAGATCAAGGTGCAAGGCCCCCAGGCTACTGCAGACCCCATCACCACCACCCCTCTGGGACCTGCCTCTAAAATGGGAGTTAATGGCGGCTGTGAATACACTGTTGCATTTGTTGCTCTTTTGGGAAAAGAAAAACCTGGCTTCTAAGAGCTGTTGTATTTTATTTTTCTGTAAAGAAGAAATTAATTTTAGTCTTTCTTTTTGGTTTAAAATGTTGTTCTTTGCTTTTTCTGCCCTACAATTTAAAAGGAAACATTTGTCTGTTGAGAAAAGAAATGGTAATTATAGACTAAAAATTGTTTCTATTCTGATTTGAAAAAGTGACAAAAAAAAATTCCATCGCACAGATGGGGCTCTGCTGACGGAGGGTGTTTAACAATGAAGCCCTGGGCCGGTTTGGGGCTCGGAATGGCTGGAGGTGGGTGTGGGATTGGGTGTTGTGGGGCGAGGGGCTGTTTCCGAGGCTGGTCTCCATTTCCGATGCTGGTTAGTCACTAGTTCCTGCACTCTCCGTGTGGTTCAACAGTGGGAGGAAGAAGACGTGACTGGAGATGTCACCTGTGGACCCTGCAGCCCTTATAAGGTGGGCTGTACAGGACGAGGCCACGCGCTCCCTTGCATGGACCCTGAGCCCAGAGAGCCTCCAGGCTTTATTCCCTTAGCCCAGAATTTCACTTTTCAGCCTCCCAAAATTACAATTGCTCCAAGTCCTTTGATCAATAAAGCAGGAAACTGATTAGACTGTGAAATTAAACTAATAATGTCACGCTGTTAACCCTCAATCAATGGGGACTGAGCTCAAAGTGAAGGCTACTTCCTAGATCCATATTACCCTTTGGACACACGTATTTACTTTTTTAAAGAAATCCTAGGGGCGCACACATCCCCAGACCGCCTTTCTTTCCTGCCAGCGCAGCCTGACTCGCAGTGCTATCTCTGCGGCCACCCTGGCGGTGCTGCCGTGTGTGTGGTGTGGAAGGCCAAGATAGAACCGAGTCTGCAAGTTGGCTGGGGTAGGGGTGCCCCTTGGGCCTTGGGAGTGGGACTCAGAACTTCTGCTGAAAGTGTGATCCTCATGGCCCCCAGCCCACCCTTAAGCCTCTTGTCACTAGAAACCTCTCTTTGGGGATGATGCTGAGCCACCCTCTAACCATACGTAGGGCCGAAGTATATAGTACTGGCTGAAAAGCCCCTTTTTACTAATTTTTTTTAGAGACAAGTTCTTGCTCTGTCACGCAGGCTGCAGTGTGCAGTGGCACGATCATAGCTCACTGAGGCCTAGAACTCCTGAGATCAAGGGATCTTACAGCCTCAGCCTCCCAAGTAGCTGGGACTACAGATGCACACCACCACACCTGGCTAATTTTTTTCCCCATTTTCTGTAGAGATGGGGGTCTTGCTATGTTGCCCAGGCTGGTCTTGAACTCCTGGCCTAAAGCAATCCTCCCGCCTCAGCCTCCCAAGGCACTGGGATTGCAGGCATGAGCCCCTGCAGCTGGCTAAGAGCTCCATTTTAAAATGGATATTGGGTTCACTCCACCACTATGCATGCTGCAGTATGGGGTTTGCTGAGACCTTTGTGTGTTCAGTCTCATGAGAGAGAGCAGGGGTCATGGTTTTTCTTATTTTGCTTCTCCCTTCCCCCCACCTCAGCCCCTGTTGCCCACCCGCCCCCACCAAAGCACAGGCTTGGTATAGACCTGGCTGATTGGAGGTGATGAGCATACCGAAGAGGCGAGTGAGGGCAGGTGTGAGGGCTGTTTTCAAGGGCTGGTTTGGGGAGTAGAGTATAATAGGTCTAGTACAGAAACAGGACCTAGCTTAGACCAGCCTCCACCTGCGGGCTGGCTCTGGGGTTCATGGAGGCAGGGCTGAGCCCGCCACCCGTCCTGAGACAGCCTGGGGGGCCGCATTTGCAGACTGAGCTCTGGTCGCAGCATGACAAAGGCTTGCCCGTTGCAGTATCGAGGACTGAGTCTCAGGTGTGCCCATGTCCTGAGAGGCCACGGCTTGTCACTCACCAAAGTGGTGAGCATGGATCAAGCTAGGTGTCAAACACAGCCATCAGGACCGGCTCAGCTGCGGCACTTCAGTCCGGCTCTTTCCATGTGCTCTTCAATATGTGGCTTCAGTTCTGCAGGGCTGGAAGGGCAGTTGCTATTACCCCCATTTAAGGGATAAATAAATTGAGGCTGGGTGGTTGAGGGGTGTACACAGTCACACTGCCAAAGAGGCAGGGCTGGCTCTAGTACTGTGGCGTAGAGCCCTCTGGGTGCCTGAGTTCTCTCCAGGAGGCTGTTCTGGAATCAGCGAAGTCTTTATCCTCTTCTGGCCTTGCCATTGAAGAGGAGGAGCTCGTAAGCCCTTTCCATGGGCCCTCCCACGGCTTGTCCTCCCAACCTGTCAGTTCCATCACGCTGGAATGTTGCCAAGGATCAGACCCCCTCTCTAAAAGTGGTGATGGTATTTAATAACTAATTACTCTAATGATCCTGCAGAAATGCTGGAGACCTGTTTTAGGAGAGATGTCAATTAGAGCCATCTGCACGGTGAATAAAGGAGCCCTCCCCCAGCTGTACTGTTGAAACATGTTAGCGTTTTCCTACCAGCGGCCATATGGTACTTAACGAAAGTGAATTGTTCACACTGCACAACCCGCGCCTCCTGATGAATACTAGCATTTTGTTTTGGAAAATAGTTCTTCCATCGTGTGGAATATTTTTCAATGCAGTAAGTAGCAAGTTGGAAGCCAGCAAGCCCTTGAATGCAAAAAGACTCCCATCACCTCAAGATGCTCTTCCCTCCATCCCAGCCCATCCCCTGCCCCCGCCCAGCTGCCAAGCCCAGCTCCACCCCAGCTCCCACATCCCTCCTGGGCCCAGTTCTTAGCATCTGCTTCTGAATCTGCTCAGGAGAGTGGAGGCCACCAAGGGTTCTTGCCCCATCCCACCAGCTTTGTGTCTGTATGAACTTAGAAATGGAAAACCTGAAGCCATACACAGAGCACAGAGCTCTGTCTGGAAGGATGCAGACATGGGCAGAGTCTCCCCAGAGTTGAAAAGTAGGGTGGGGTGTTTAACTGGGTGTGTGGCCTCACAGAAGGGTTCGTTTTCTATCTGTAGGATGTTTGTTTTAAGAAGTGCAAAGTTCAGGTTGACACCTGGATGCACAGTGAGGTAGAGGGGGTAAGCTGGGACTGTATCTGGGACTCGGCAGAAGCCTGGCTGAGAAGCCTGTCTCCTCCTCGTCACCTGTACAGACAAGTTTCAAATAAATAGTGAGCGAAAGTCATTGCCACGTGGTGGCCAGACAGCTGGGACCAGGGTGCAGCCACCCTGTGGGTTCCATTAACCAAAAACAGGCATGTTGGGTTCTTGTTGCCTGGGACGTTTCAAAAGCAGACCACTGCCAACATGGGACCTATTTGGGGGGTGAGGCTCAGTTTTGTGATGCTCAAGGGAGAAGAACAGGCGACCGTCCCCATCAGTTCCATCCCCCACCCACCCACTACCAGATTGCTCTGGCAAGGGGACCCTCCGCCTCCCTCGTGGGGCTCTGTGGCCTCAGTGAGCTGAGACCCTGCCTCCGAGCCGCCAGGACGGAGCTGCTTTATTGCAGTCTGCCCTGGGACCAACGGGATTTCACTTGCCAGTAATATCTATTCCGGAACTTTCCCTAGAACCAGAGTCACTTATTAAAGCTTAATAAAAGGCCAGATTGACTGCAGTTAGTGACAGAGAAGACCTGCCGCAAGTCCTGGTACCCAAGACGCTCTTCACAAAACCGTGGGCCCATAAATCTCACTTATTTCCAATTCCGCAGCAACTGATCCCAAGTTACAATAATGATCCTAGGTTCAGCTGAACATGTCCTTAAAGGAAATCCTTCTGGGTGAAAAATAGCAGAAATGTGCTCCCATCTGTTCCTCATCAGCAGACTGCACTATACTATTTGCTTTCCACGTCTGTGCCCTGGATACTTTCTCACCCTCTTTGACACCTGGGACCATAGAGATGTGAACCTGAAAGAACCAAGTCGCCACGACTCCCAAGTGCCACCTCAGTAAGGGACCTCAACGGGACGACCAAGGCCCAGTGGAAGCCTCGACGGCCCTTGACCATGGAAGCTGCCCAGAGCATCTCAAATAAGTCAGCAGCCTTTCCACTGGGCCTATTCCACAACGACCCCCCACAGACCAGAACCCGCTCCACTGGGGCCATGCCTGGGAGTTACTCCAAAGAGTTAACCTTTCCTGGTGGGAGAGGGGTGGAGGGGAAGGCTGAGGCCATTTGACATGTGCTGCCTGGTCTGAACATGATGCTGTGCTCAGACACTGAATTTGATGAAGTGCATTGTAAAATTTAAAAACAAATTTAAAACTCTATTAACTCCCTGTAATGGCCTCCTCCTGCAGTACATAGACAACACCGGCTCACTGGCAAGGAGAAAAAGTACTCTGGTTTGCAGTGTGCTTGGCTTGAAGCAGAATGGAGACGGTGGGAGCTGGTGAAGGGAATGGGGAGCCCACGCACCCTCTGCACCCAGGGCAGCACCCAGGGCGGCACCCAGGCCCCTGCTAGTGGAGCTTTGTGGGATGTGCATCGCCAAGGTTAGACTTTTTCTTGCTCCTATGTTAAAATCTCACTTTCACTTTCCTTTGAAGCTAAAACACTTCCTTCAAGAATGCACCACTGGAGTGACAAGATTGTAAGATTATCTTAACTTGGGACTGAGGCCTGGGCGGTGGGGAGCTCACTAGAGGCCTGTGGTTTGGGGTCAGCATGGGGGTGGGTGTCAGGTGGGAGGAGGTGTGTTCCCAGCCTCACCCACTACACCCTCTGCACGGGGAGAAGGATCAGGGCAGGGAGACTGTTCGCCACAGGCCTCTGCAAATCGAGGCGCGTTCAGGGTAAGGGGAGGATTGGCCCGGCTCCAGGCTACCAACTGGAGAGAGACGAACTTTTGTTGAGAAGGGAGACAGCCCCACAGCTGTGTGTGCACGTGGGCCGAGAGGAGGAGCTCAGCTGGCGGTGAGAAAGCCTGGGGGCCGAGGGGAGGGTTCCCTCTACGTCTCTGCAACTCACAGGCCCCCAAGCTGAGGAGCAGAAGGTGCTGCCTGGCCTGGTCTTTGACGAGTTCAAGGGATTTTCTGCCAACCAGTGGCTTCCCTGTGTGAGAGCGTCTCTCAGTTTTTCCTGAGCACGTAAAGTGGTTTGGAGATATTGGGGGAGGAAAAGGTGTACACATACGGCAGGCCTGGGGGTCAAAGGCAGCAGAGAAACCATGCGTATGTGTGAGTGTGTGCAGATCTGTGTGTGCACAAGTAAGCAGTGCCTTCTGATGTGGCTGCTTGTGGGCTAGTCCTAGGGCATGGGTTTGATGCGGACTCTTGCATCCAGGGAAGTATTTTTCTGAGAGTTCCCCCACCCTCTGGGGCTGGCATTCTACCCCCTTTGGAAAGAAAGCTGGGATGGTCTAAGCAGGGAGGGGTCCTGTGGAGACTTGTAGCTCCTGGCCCAGCAGGATTCATGGCATTTGGCGTCAGAGAAAACGTGAGCCTCTGCCGGGAGTGAAGCAGCTGATGCAAAACAAGGAGCCCTGGGTCGTAGATGCAGCTCTGTGCAGCCTCTGGGGAGCCTTGGCGCTGGCTCGCAGATCAAAGCTGGGAGACCTGGGAGCTCCCTGAAAGCTCCTTCCCTGGCAGCTGCAGATGGGGTGCGGCGTTTGGGCTGGGTGATGGCATTTGTAACAGTGTGAGGACCCCCCACTCTCCCGGGACTAACAGTGTAAATAAGAATTGGGGCATTTACGCCAATGAAGAGAACAGAATTTCCTTGTGCTGACAATCTAGAAGATCCGCTTGTGGACAGTTGAAATGCTAATTATAAGCTAACTCTGTTTTCAACCTTTGTGAACCCGGTTTGGGCTATTTTGTATCAATAAGACTGCTTTCAGAAAAAACAAATTTACTAATTAACTCCCTTTATTTTAAATACATGAGACTTTCCTATGGTGTCTGTTGTTTTTTTTTTTTTAAAGAAACGTGTGCGCTATGAGGTGTTTCCACAGCTCTTTTTGGGGTATGTAATAGTCCTCCTGATATTTTAATTGATATTTGAACCAAGTAAGGACCCGCCAATAGTTGAAAGTCCCCGGTTTCGGGGATGCCTTTCCAAGCAACCAGGGATTCCTGTCTGACATCCCGCTGAGCAGCACCCATTTTATCGTGTTTCTTCCCACAGCACAGGAAACAGGACAACCGGGGCTTCAGATCATGAGACCTGGTGTTGAATCCAGGTACAATGCTTTGTGAACCTGGGAAGTCACTTGGCCACATTGCAGTTAGTATGACTTACCTTGTAGGGTCCTTCTCATCATTGTTATTTTTATTAGATAAAATCACATTTGTGCAACACCTAGCCCAATGCCTGTTCCTTAACAGGCATTTAATAAGTGATGGTTATTATGTCTCAATGCCTTTGTTGACACATTATGTCTTCCCAGCGTGGAATTTTCCTCTCTTTATTGTTTTCTATTGAAATCCTTTGCGTCCTTTCAGAGGCTACTATGAATGCCCCCACCTCCGAGAAGCCTTCCTGTTTGGCCTTAGCCAGAATGACTTATTTCTTTGCAGCATCACAGATGCTAACTTCTGTTCCAGCCCAAGTTCCCGTCTTCCTTCTCTTCTGCTCAGTGTCTCTCCAGCTACACTGAGCTGCCCCTTTCCTGCCACAGCAGGGCCCAGCTCTGTGTATGGCACAGAGGCTCATAGAGTGGATGTGTTTTGAGTTGTTGAGTGAAGCTGAGGTCCCACAGTCTCTTTGAGGCTCCAGTGCTTCAAAACTTCCCTTGACAGACTACTGTGGGTGACTAGTCAACTGCAGAATTAGAAAGAAAAAACAGTGCCTTTTCTGGTCACTTAGAGCTGAGGGCATCTTGGATTTCACAGCCTAGAACCCCCTGCAGGCTTTTTGGATCCCCTAATCCTGTTGATGCTGCAGCAGTATCGACTGGCCCTAAAAGCAGCTGCTAAAATGCGTCTGGCACAAAGGAACTTTCTGGGCTGATGGAAATGGTCTGTATCATGATTGGGGTGGTGGTTAGGCAGGTGCATGCATTTGTCAAAACTCATCAGACTGTGCACTTAAGATTTGGACAGTTACTTTATGGACATTATATCTCCATAAAATTAGTTAATTTTTTTAAAATGTGGCCTGACCAGACAGGCTGGATACAGGGGCCTGTTGTGGTCTTCCTGTGGCCTTGGGAAATGCAGCTCATGCCAGCATGGCACAGGATTGCTCTGGGAGGAAAAGAGACAGAACAGTCTCTGCATTTGTGGAACTTAACCCTTTAAGTCCTGAGCTAGGACTCCACACACAGGTGCCTCGCCACCCTCTCCCAGGAGACCTCACCCTGGCCTGCCTCCAAAGAATCAGAGCCAAGCCTCACACGGCCACAGGCTGAGGCCTGCCTCTCACAGGAGAAGAGAAGATTAAAATTAATGTAAAATCTAACAGATATTTGTATACCCATGTTAATAGCAGCATTATTCACAATAGCCAAAAGGTAGAAGCAACTCAGGTGTCCATTAATTAATGAATGGATACACAAAATGTGTTGTATACATACAATTGAATATTATCTAGCCTTAAAAAGAAAGGGAATGCTATAGTCATGGATACCTACTACAACATAGATGAACCTTGAAGACATTATGCTAAATGAGATGAGCCAGACAAAGGAAAGGATAAATATGGTATGAGTCCACTTATACGAGGTACCTAGAGCAAATTCATAGAGACGGAAAGTAGAACGGTGGGTGCCAGGGTTTCGGGGAGGCGGGAAAGGGGAGTTATTGTTTTTAGTGGGCAGAGTTTCAGTTTGGAAAGATGAAACATTTTGGAGGTGGATCGTGGTGATAGTTACACAACATTGAGAATGTACTTAATGCCATTGAAGTGTACACATAAAATGGCTAAAATGGTCGGTTTTAGGTTTTGTATATTTGATTACAATAAAAAGAATAAAGAAGAGCAACGAAAGAATCCCAGGCCTAAGGCAGCCTCCTGGCCCCCTTAAATTTCAACATTTTAAATGTTATCATTCAGGGGACTGCTTAGCAGAGGATGTGGTTTCTGGTCTGAGAATCAAAATGTGGGAAACAGAAGCCCTCTCTGACTGCCAGGCCCTTTCAGAGCGACAGGTATCCTTCCTAAATGCCAGGTCCTTTTGTCAAGACAAAGGTGGGTGACCACATATCGCGCCACTGGTTTAACTTGATTTTCCCATCTGACTCTCTCGGGCAACGTGTATCCTGAAGCTGATGATGGAGGGGTGAATTTTACTTTATCGCCCCAGCAACTCCCAGCATCATGATTGGGGTGACCCCATCCTCAAGACCCAAGGGGCTCCAAGCTGCGGAAATTAGAGTACGCTGTGTGGACGGCAGCTTGGCTGTCAGAGCGGGTTGGCTCCTGGCCTGTAATTCAGAATGATACCCGGGTACTTGTCGCAGCAGGGGGCTGGTGCCGGCCTGAGCAGGCCTGCCGTGGAGAGTTTAAAGGAGGCTGACTCTCCCCGTTTTGCCTCAGGGACCATTTTTGATTTGTTCTTTGAATGGCAGAAGGCCTGGCCCATCAAACTCACAGGCAACCCTTCCCATGCTCAGAGGAGAGAGAGCTCGGCACAGCAGCCTGTGAAGGGGGCTGCCAACCTTTTCGTTTATAAAATACTGCTGGATTCTTGAGTCCTGATCTCTCTCCGTGAAGGTTTGCTGCAGTCAGGCCGTTAGGAGGACAAAGAAAGAATCTATTGGAAGGGCCCGAGCCTGTGCTGTGAAAAGAAGCTCTGTACTGTTTATGTTCTGGTTGATGTAGATAAGTAGGTACCATGCCTATAGTAAAGGAAAGAGAGTGACATTCTGAGACAAACTTCTGGTTCCCTTCCTACTAACGAAATAGCGAAAGACAGATCTCACACACACACACACACACACACACACACTCTCTCTCTCCCTCTCTCGCTCTCTCTCTCTCCCTCTCTCGCTCTCTCTCCTTCAGGTGTGGTGTAAAGGGCTGTTCTGGACCTGCTGGCATCCCCATTTTGTCCGTTACGTCCCTGTTCTTGGCAGAAACTTGAGGTGCACATGCTACTCTGGTCCCACGCCACCTTGCCCCTGGATGCCACTTTCTTGCAGTCTGACTTTCTGTCTCTGAATTTGCATTTGTCCTGAGTTCCCTTTCAGTCACTGGTTGCTCTCGGGCTCTGTCGGCTAATTCAGTTGGTGGGTGCCACTGCCACCACCCTTCATGGGCAGTGCTGCCGCTTCTGTGCCCCTGGCTACCCTCTGAACACTCTGTTGCCTCAGTGGGAGGGGTCTGCTTCCCCCTTTTGCCTTCTCCATCATACTACAGTGCAGGGAAGGGCATTGAAAGTCCTTTAGGAAGGACGAGTAACTTCTAGTTGAGTTTGAGCTGCCGATTCCTGCGGTGGGCAGAAACTACACACACACACACACACACACACACACACACACACACACACACACACAGGCACGCACACGCTTCTCCAGCAGATCGGGAGGAGGCATCCTGTGTAACCACTCATGCCCAATATTATGTCAGGTGCATTAGTGCTTAGAATGCAGAGTTGTTATAACCATACAAGATACTAGGATTCATCTGTTGGCAGAATTTGGAGCACAGAACTGCAGGGACTAAAGGAAGTAGGAGGCCCCATCTGGGTATTTGGGAAGGGATGGTTCATCGCTCTTTGCTGAGATGTGGGGCATCTGGAGCTTGGCCACCTGCAAGAAGCTGCATGTCGGGTGGGAAACTGGAGAGGCAGGGCTCAGGGCAGCTGGCACCACCAAGTCTACTTAGGGATGGAAGGCTGGGTTCTCAAGGAGCTCATTGGATCCTGGTTTGACACTTTGGGCTGTTAGAGGCTTTGGAATGTGTCCAAAGGGTGGCAGGATTCATGCCACAGCCTTCATGACAGTAGGAAATACTTCCAAAACCCCATGATGATTTATGTGTGAGGAAAAAGGAGGCTCTGGTCTGTAAAGGAAAGTTGCTCCAGAAGCACTGAGGGTACCTACAGATCTCACTTTGAGAATTAGAACGAGGGTGGATCACTGAGCCCGTTTGGCTGGACCCCAGTTAGTATTTGGGAAAACAGACCAGAAGGAGCAAGGACTTACTCAAATTCATACCACCAATAAGTAGCAGAACTAGGATGGATCTCGGGTTTCTCTTGACTCGTAGTCCAGGATTCCTTTGGCCACAGAAATAGAATTATGAACCAAGTAAGGCAGCCCTTCTCAATGGATTCTGCATTTCTAAAAGCTCTCAAGTGATGCTGGACCTAAGGACCACACTTTGAGAAACAAAGATGCCTGACGTCAGTTTCACTTTTAAGGAAGCCAGATGGCATGGGTGCAAAGCTGGAATTCCTAATTCTCCCTCCTATCTGTTTGGCTCCATTCTTATTCTGTTTTATCTTTATCAAGATGTCTAAAAGCTTTTGGCCTAGACCCTCAACAAGGAGATTATCTGTCATCCTTTGTCAGCTCCTTGCTACCCAGATCCCAGCCTCTCTCTGCCATACAGGAAGCTAAAATCGTGACTGAAACGTCCATTCCAAACACTCAGAAGAGTGTGCCTGTGGCTTTGTGGGGGTGAATGTGAGAATGATCTTTGGTTGTGGGGAGGGACACACTGTGGAATATGTCACTCTGTTAGCTGTCTGGGCTGCACATTTGTGACAGTGTAACAATTTGTGCCATTGATCTATTTCAGAATAAGAGGTTCTGAGTGGCAAGATTGTCAGGGCCTTTGCTTGTTCCACCAGTTCTCACTGATCTGGAAACCTTTCCTAGAGATTTGGAGCCTAGATTGAGAGAAAGAACAGAAGGCATCTCTGAGTGACTGACAAAACAAATAGGCATCACCAAATGTGTGCACACAAAATCTCGTTCTTTCTTCATCATCAATCCCTCCGGCTTTAATTCAGAATTGTTCTTTAAAAAATACAAATTGACTATAAGATTGATTAGATGCATTCCAAATTCAGAGCAAATTCTGCAAACTCCTGATCTGGCAAGGATGAAGAGAAGGGCTGGGAAAGATCGTACCAGCAAGAAAATTTTGCTAGAAGCTAATCAGAGGTGAAGCAACTGCCAAACTCTAAAATTTTATATCCACGCTTAGAAAGCACGGCAGCCACCCAGGGCTGATGAGTGTAGGGACCCTGGATCCCTGAGTCCTGGGGATCGTACTGGTTCACAGCCCTAGGTGTCTCTGTTACGTTCAATTCTGTTCAGCAGATTGGGAAGTATGCAGTGTACTGCAGAATATTTTATCTTTTAAATGGCTAAAATGTTTTATTCTTGTTTAAGATTGGATGTTGAAAGGAATTGATTTCAGTTATCTCAAAAATATGTCTGTATATAAGAAAAATGAGACAATAATAATCCTAGCAGACTGATGATGCTTTGCTAGCCTTATCCTGCCTCCTTTTTTTTTTTTTTTTTTTTTTTTTTGGAGACAGGGTCTCACTTTGTCACCCAGGCTGGAGTGCAGTGATGTGATCTTGGCTCACTGTAACCTCCGCCTCCCAGGCTCAAGCCGTCCTCCTGCCCCAGCCTTCTGAGTTGCTGGGACTACAGGTGCGCACCATCACACCAGCTGATTTTTGTATTTTTTTTAAGAGATGGGGTCTCACTATGTTGCCTAGGCTGGTCTTGAACTCCTGGGCTCAAGTGACCCCTCTTCCTCAGTCTCCCAAAGTGCTAGGATTGTAGGCATGAGCCACTGCACCTGGCCATTATCCTACCTCCTTCTGACTCCTTCATACATTGTATTTCCTCATTCTCTTTTTCCAGCCACTTCTTGGCAGTCTCCATAGTTTAGCTTAGGTATACTTTTCTCTTTCCACAGTCTGAGCGATTATCCCCTAAACTCCAGTGACTCCAAAAGCTTGTTTCTCTAGGCTCCAACTTCTGTTAAGCAACCTTCGTCCCATCGTTCCACCTCAGACCTCCATCCTCCTCTGTAATCCTCATTTCAGGGAACAGGTGTGCCGCCCACCAGCCCTGTGAGTTGACTCTGGCATCCTCCCACTTTGGAACTTCCTCGTTTCTGGCTCCTAGTTGTTTCCCCTGCCCCATGTTAGACCCTCCTCAGTCCTTGCCTGGGCCATTTGCCTTCATGTCCCCCAGGATCTTCTGTGTCCAGGCTCCCGTCCTGCAATCCCGCCCCCTGGTACCTGCCCAGCCCCCCAGAAGTGGTCACTTTCCCTCACACTTCCTCTGCCGGGGCCGTGGTCCACACCTGCACTGTCCAATACAGTAGCCACTAGCCAGTATTTGTATCAATTACAATTAAATAAAATGTAAACTTCAGTTCCTCGATCATGCTGGCCAATTGTCAAGTGCCAACAGCCCCAGGGGGCTTCTAGCTTCCATATTGGACAACACAGATCATAGAAGCGTTTCCACCATTGCAGAAAATCGTACTGGCTAGTGCTGGTCCACATTGTCCTTTCCTCTTGAGCATCTTTCTTTCCTCTCCTTCTCTCCAAATCCTCCCTCTTTCCCAAAGAGTCACATAGACACATCCTTACATCCCAAACCTCATCTTCAGTAGCGCAGAACTTGGCACTTCTCTGAGGGTACACTGGAACATAGAACTCTTTTGGTTGCAGTAGATGGGAACCCAACTCAAACTAACTGAAGCACAAAAGAAAATGTGTTAACTCTTGTAATGGAGAGGCACAACTCAGGCTTCAGCACAGCCAGATTCAGTCACTCATGTACTGTTGGACCTCGTCCATCCCTCCTCCACTGCCCTCTGTGGCCAGCTTCATGCTCTGTCCTACAGACCGTCCCCTCCCCATGACCAGAGAGGACGGCCAGGAGTAGGCCCTGCTTACATCTTTTCTGGGCATGATCCTGAAGGAAGAGAGACCTTTGTTTTTGGAGTTCATATATCGTATCTATGGGATTTGGGTCTGTTTGGGTCATGGACCCTGATTCAATCCTTATGGCCAGGGGGATAGAACACCCTGATTTGCCTGGCCTGGTCACGTGCTTACCCCAGGGGTGGGGCACAACACCCAGCCATAGCTAATGGGCTCCCTGTGGGAAAGAAAGATCCTACTATCAGATAAAGGAGGGAATGGATCAGACAAAATGCAGATTTCACAACTGAATTCTGTTGGGAACCTTTCTCACTTTCTTCGCTTGACAGGAATCTGGATGCCTGACAAAGTATCTGAACAGATGTTCAACAAATATTTGGTGTGTTAACGGAGGGAGACGTGAATGGATGGATGCATGGGTGGATGCACGGGTAGATGGATGGATGGATGGATAAGTAGATGGACAGAAGATGGGCAGTTATATGCCTAGCTATGGAGAAGGCCAGAGGAGAGAACCGGGCTCCAGAACTCAAGGGGCTTCCTTCCATGCTCATCAGAAGCCTCTGCCTGTCTTATGGTCTCAGATCTTCTTGAGGATTGGTTCAGCCCTGCCAGACCATGGGCTCCTTGAGGGCAGTCCTCAGCCAAATCCATCTCTGCCAGCACTCACAGCCCCAGCACAGTGCTGAGTGCCTGGCCAGGGCTGGCTGGTGGGCTGAAAGTGAGCGGCAGCTCTGTGCATCTCTTTGTTGTAGCTGGAAGGTAAGACAGGAGCTAACCAGCAATGCAGGGTGATCTCATCTGGGTGTCAGAGGCAGCAACCCTTCCCAGATTGCTGGTCTCGGACACAGTGCATTCACCGTTCTTTCTCAAGTCCCTCGCAATCGAAAACAGGATTTTTTAAAGAGCTTTTAAAAAAGCCCAACCCAAAAAACAAAAAAAAAAAAACCATAAAACTGGTGCTCCCAGTGGACAGCAGCAGGGCTGGTGCCTTCTTGTGTGAGATGATTTGTGGATTGAGGCCCCAAGTCCAGATCCTGGGAAACAGTAGGTGTGTCTTCCATCCAGAAGCTCTTGTTTCTGGCAATGGCCGTAGTGGTGCAGCTGCTCAAACTGTCTAGAAAACTGAAGAATTAATCCTGGGAAGTAATTAGCTCTCCTGGGAGGGGTTGGGCTGTGTGCTGCCTGTTGTTAAGTCATTGTCGTCATACTGATGGCCTTGGGAAATGGCATTAAGAAGTCTAAAGGGCTGAGTCAGGCAACCAGGGTGGTGGCAGTGTTTTGTTTTCTTTTAATTTCCAACCCTTTGATCTCTTGTCTAAAATAGCCTCTCAGAATTTAGCAATTATATTTCTTCCCTGGTTAATACTGTTCCCTTCCTCTCTTCAATTGCATCTTTTTCGGTACATGTATTTGTTAAGGAACAAAAATGAGTTAGGCATTTAGAGGACTTACTTTAGTCCCAGTAGACCCACCTGCCTGGAAAATTGGATGCCTAGGGAGGCTTGTGCAGATGAGAGGGCTCCATCTGCACAGGGGTTCACCAGTTGGCTATAACCAGGTCTGCTGGGGAAGCTCTCCCACCTTGGTGTCTCTGGTTCTCTCCCTCTATCTCTTGTTCTGTTTCCATGGGGCATGTGTGCTCTGATGGGGACAGCCCGCGTTCAGGGTTTGGCTATTTGGGGAATTGCTGAGTCTCCTACTTTCTGGAGTTGACCTTTTCTGCAAAGCACATGCCATCCTCGGGGCTTGTCAGGCATTTGGAAGGGGACAGTCTCCAGGGAGCCAGCATCCAGCCACTGTCCTTCCTGCATTCTCTCCCCAGGGTGGAGGCCAGAGAGAGATCGTTCTTGCAGAGGAGGGGCAGGCTTCTGCCTGAACCCTCAGAGAGCCTCACCTGGACCAACTACAAGTTGCTCAGCCCCGGGGAGTTGAACCTGGAAGATGATCTCATAGCAGCCACCTGGGCCTTTCACCAGGGACACCTGGGGAAGGAACCAGGTCTAGTTACCACTCAGGCAGCTCCTGCTGCATTGGATCCAGGCTCTTTGTGACCTTGGGCAAGTCACTCCCAACTGTCTGAGCTTCTGCTTCCTCCCCTGGGAAATTAAGATTGCATTAGTCGGGGCAGGCTAACTATTGGAACAAACCACCCCAAACTGTAGTGGCTTAATCATGTAGCTTCCTTCTCAAGTCACGGTGTGGGATGGGTCAGTGAGAAGCAGCTCTGCTCCAGGAGCCCGAGAAGAACCAAGCCTCCTTGTGCAGTGTGTCCCTGCCGTCTGCGCCTCATCCTCCTCTGCAGTGGACAGGGAAAGAGAGATGAAGAAGACATCTCTGCTCTAACCACATGGTCTAGAGGGACCCGAGTCACTCGCACACACATTCTGCACATGTCGGCAAGAACTCATTACACGGCTCCAGCTAGAATCAAAGGGGAGCTGGAGAGTGTTGTCCAGCTGTGGTCCCCAAGAAAGAGGAGGGCACAGACATGGGCAGCGCCGGCGACCTCTGCCACAGAGATGGTGATGAAAAGTCCCTCCCCGGGATGTGCGGGAGGGTTAAATGTAAAATGTCATCATTCTTCAAGCACAGTGCCTGACCCCCAGTAGGTAGGGGGATATTGTTATTTTTCTTGTTTCTTCTCCCGGATATTCCCTTGAGGTTTATGCAAATAGCAGACCAAGGCAAGAAATGAAATCTATGTCCCTGCCCTCTGAAGTTACTGATTTCCGTGTTTCCTTGCAGTGTAACGTTTCATTAGACCTTCCAGATGGGGGAAAGAACAAGCAGATTAGAAGTCAGATAGTGCCTAGGAGCCTGCTCCATCGGTTTCTGGGACGGCTGGAGCTTCAAAGCTATTTGGTATTTCCACTGCCGAAAGGCCTCCTCGGGAGCAGTTGTGTTTTAATAAATGGCTGCCTGAGTAATTTTCCTCGGAGGAATTGCGTCGTGGATGTGTACGCTCCTGGGGGAGAGCTGGCTGCTCCCTCCACCACTCCAGATGCTGGTGCATTATGAATAGGATGCTTGGGGCTGGGGGAACTGGCAAGCCTGCCCACCCCGGGCTGGTGATGTCATCTCCCAGGTCCACCAGGTGGACTCTCCAGGGCTCTGGGTCGGGGCTTGCTGGACAGGGAGAGTAGGAGACATTTGTGCAACTGGCCTGAACTGCCCCTTCCCCATGGCCGCTGGCAAAAGCAACCGCTTTAAGACCCAGGGGAATAATTCATTTCTTTGACATAACCTGACTGATGCTGCCCCCATCAGATAGGGGCAGTCTGGTGGGTGGGGCAGGGAAGGAGGGAAGAACAGGCCTGAGTCCAGGATCTTGCCCGTCTGTGGGGAGAGAAGACGGGCACGAGAACCACGGTGATGTGGGATTGCAGCGTGCTTCATTCACTCGTTATTTACGGAGCCCTACCAGAGGCCGGGTATTGCCTGGGCCAAGATACAGCATTGAACCGAGCTGGCAGGTGGAGACTGTGGTGCCTGAGAGCAGGTCTCCGGGGCTGCGCTGCCTGGGCGTGAATCCTCCTCTGCCACTTTCTAGCTGGGAGACTTTGGGCCAATTGCTTGAGCTTTCTGTGCCTCAGTTTCCTAATCTGGAAGATGGAGATAGCCATCGGAACAGCTGCCTCACAGAATTGTTATGTAGATTAAATGAGTCTGTGTTTAGAAGCACTGCCCTTAGGGAACTCACACTCCAGAGAGGGGACACACAGAAATCTAAGTAAGTAAACTATATAGGCCAAGAGAAGGCAATGAGAGTGAGCGGGAAAGAAAGCAGAGAAAGAAGTTGCCATTTTACAATAGGATGGGCAGAGAAGGCCTCACTGAGAAGGCAACATTTGAGAAGAGGCTGGAAGGCAATAAGAACGCTGGCCGTGTGGATAGTGGGGAGGATGGGCCCGGCACAGGGAGCAGTGTGTGCAAAGGTCCTGAGGTAGAATGGGGCCTAAAGTGATGGAGCCGCTGCAAGGAGGCCAGCATGTTGGAACAGAGGGGCAGGGGGAGACCAAACAAGAGAGGGGAGTGAGCACCAGGGCCTCATGGGTCTTAAGAAGAAGGCCTTTGGCTTTTTCTTAGGGTAGGATGGGAGCCATTGCAGGGACTTGGGAGAGATGATCTGGCTTGTGTTTTAACAGGATCACTCTGGCTGCTGGGTGGAGAATACTCTGAATGAGGGTGAGGAAGGAAGGAAGGAGACGTGTTTAGGAGGCTGTGGCAGAAATCCAGCTGAGAGATGACAGAGGCCCAGGCCAGGGTGGACGTGGGAAGAAGTGGTTGGTGTTAGGAGGAAACACAGCTGCCAGCCGAGGAGGCTGAATGTATAAGAAGCATTTGTGAGTGAGAGACGAAAGGTCTGCAGGCCAGGGCTGGTCATGAGTCCAGGAAAAGATAGAGAAAGAAGAGCACTGGCTTCAGAGTCGGGCACAAGAGCCTCCTTCCAAGCACCACCACTTCCCCCAAGTGGCCTTGAGCAAGCCACCGCATCACTGAGCCTCAGTTTCCCCTTCTATAAAGTGGAGGCAGTGCTATGACACACGCAGTTTAAGTGACTTGCAGAGTAGCAGGCATGCTGTCGGTGCTCCGTAAATGCTCCCTGCTTCCCCTTTCTGCTGCCTGTTTGCAGCTGGGTAAGGAAGGCTTGGCGTCCTCGGGGTGGGGTGTCCCCAGGCCAGGAGGCTGACACCCGCAGAGCTCAGGGGTGTGGAGAGAGATGCAGGCACCACCTCGTGGTAAGCGAAAGGGGGTGCTGGCATCTCCATCTCTGATTTCATAGTGAAATTTGCCAGGCACTTCCTCTAGGCAGGAGGCCCTGGAGTATGGGGTGATTAGGCCCCGGCTACACTGCTCCTGGGGACGAGTCATTTCCTTTGTAGCCAGGGAGTGGGTGCCAGCCCAGTCCTCTTCTCGGGCGTGAAAAATACTGAGTTCCTTTTATTCTAGCCCCTGAAGGCCATCCTGATGGTGCCAGGTTGGCATCTGACACCAGAGTCCCCCCAGCCTCAGGTGGGGAACACAGCTTTCTCTGGACTCCCTTCCTCCCGCCTCATCCAAGGCCAGTCCTCTGCAGACCCCTTTGTTGAGCCCCAGACAGTGGGTGTCAGCCCTGCTCTGTGTGCCGCTGCAGGGCCAGCCCTCTGTAAATGGACTGCCTGTGCCTACAGACCGGGTTGGGCTGAGCCAAGAGCAGATGGTGTCTCCCTCCCTCTCCCAGGGCCTGCTGCAGCTGAGATCTGGCCTGCAGACAGCTCTCCAGACCCTCTCAGGGGCCCTGACCCCATCATCCCCATTGTCCTTAGGGTGCCCACTCCCTTGCCTGAGGCTGGGCTCTGTGCAGCCACACATGTGACTGTGGGCAGGGAATGTGACTGATGGGTGTGAGTAGGGCTTCCACCCAGGCAACTGGCAGGGGTGGCCAATGCAGTGTGTTTTCAGAGCTTAGTATGTCATCAGATACAGGGGACCCTGCAGAATGAGGGCTAGAAAAGATTGGGGCCAAGGGATGAGGCAGCAGAGTGACCTGGAATCATCAGGAAGACTTCATGGAGGAGGCAAGAGCTGAGCTGGAGGAGGAGTGAATCATTTATATCAAGATGTGAAATAAAGCTATTCCTGTTGTTTTGGGGCCTCAGGTGAGGCCCCAGGCTGTGCATGAAAGGTATCCGGCACCCCCACATTAGAAAGAGGAGCTAGACAGCCCCAGGGCCCGTCTCTACTCCCATGAGAAAAGCTTTGGGCTGACTATAGGGAGCAGCGATCCTAGAAGAGAGCTGGCCTAGGAGGGAAACTGAGGCTTCTCCCCCTCTCCCGGGGAGGAGCTCCCCACTCTACCAGCCCCTCAACCAGTACTCTGTGGGAGCTGCTGCTACCCCAAGACTGGGGTACCCCAAGCACTTAGAAGGATGTGACCTGTGTTCCTTGGAATTTGGGGGACACCAAGGCTGTGCCTGAATCTTACCAGGAAGTGTCCAGATGCAAAAGGCTCCCGGGGATATCTGGAACATGCAGTGGAGAGCGAGGGTTGTGCTGGTGGCAGTAGGACCAGAGTTGGTCATCAAGGGAGAGTTATGGTTGTGAGTCCAGAGTGGACACTGCACAGGGAGACAGACTTGAGCCATCTGGGAAGACCCTGCCCAGGAGGACAGCCTGCCAGGGTGTGAACCATCAGAGCCGCCTGAGGGAGCATTTCCAGCAGAGCACACACCCTCGTGGAGCTCCCGCAGAGAACCCACCACAGTGCCACAGCGGAAGGAGGGCCGGCACCGGGTCTCTGCACACGGAGGCTGTCTCTGCCCGTTTACATCACTCTGCTCACACCTTGCCCTTGTGCTCCCAGCCCCGCTCCCTGGCCACTCTGGGGAGGCTGAAGCAGCAGTTAGTGAGAAGGAGGCAAAACCAGAGAAGGGCGATGCTGCCATTCTCATTACCCGATTCCGAGCCTGGGTCCGGCCAGAGCTGGGGCAGAGGGGAGAGGCTGTGGACCAGATATGATAAGAGTTCTGATGAAAGATTGGACTGGGCTTTGGAGAGACCAAGAATGTGATCATGTTTAGGATTGACCTAGCCATTTACTAGCTTTGTGGCCCCACAGGTCACTTAAACCTTTACGTTAATTAAACCCCTCCCTGCCTCAGTTCAATTAAAGTACCTGGGGATTAAAAGAGCTGGTGCATGCACAGCCCTTGGTACGGTAGCCAGCACACAGTAAGTGCCCAGAAAGTGTTCGCTTTCCGTAGTAGAAGTGGTAGCAGTAGCAATAGTTGTGACAGCAGCAGTAGTACTTCTACCGATAGACATCGTGCCCAAAAGTGACCACCCCTCCCGCCTCCCCCGAGAAAAACCCCAAATGCTATTTGGGCCTAACAGAGTGCATGTGAAAAGAAGTAGCGGGAGGAAAAGATACTTGTTTGCTACTTACATCCTGCTGAGTTCAGCCTCAGAAACCAGTTACATGGCCATCATTTCACAGGCTCTGTAGTGAGAAGACAGCAGTGCTGGATGAGGCCAGGAGCAGCAATCTCTGCAGTCTAGGTGGTCCAGGAAGGCTTCCAGGAGGAGGTGAAGGCACAGAGTAAGGCCACCAGCAATACAGAGGTGGCGCTATGCCACTGGGAAAAGAGAGTGGTCTGAGGCCTGTGTGCGTGGCCACATCCTTCTCACTCACACACCCTGTCTTGGGACAGTTCAGCTCAGCAGACATCAGTGGAACCCCCGGACTATGTCAAGCCGAGGCAGGGCCCTGGGGACACTGAGATAAGGAGCAGGCAGGCCGTGGCTTCAAGGAGCTGCCAACCTCATGGGGTTAAAGAGAAAAATCATAGAATGCCAAAGGAATTTTGCTAAGATGAATTCAGGGGTACTGCAGGGCTCAGAGGAGAATGCAGCCCAGCTTGGGGACCCTGTGAACACACACAGGCACCCAGACACACAGGCGCACACACACAAACACACACAGGCACACACACACACAGACACAAGCACACAGACACACACACAGGCACACAGGCACACACACAGGCACACACAGACACACAGACACACACATGCACGCACCCTCTTCCCTCACTGTCTTTTCCCCAAAACCATTTCTCTTTCTGGGCACATGATAGAGTTGCATGTCCCCACCCACTTAGAGTTAGATCGTGACCACATGGCTTGCTTTGGCCAATGACACCAGAGCAGAAAGGACACATGCTTTCCAAGTGAAAACCTTGAGAGCCAGTGTGCGATGCGCCAACCCATCTCTCCTTTTGCCACAGTGGCCAGTCTGACAGCCGGGGTCCTAGAGAGTGGATGGCCTGGCACAGGGCCCCCAGCCGACCAGCAGTGAGCGCGTGGCAAGCAGTGAGTGCGTGGCATGAGTGAAAAGCGTACCTCGCCGAAGCCATTGAGGTTTTGGGGACTGTTTAGCATCATAGCGTCACCTACCTATCCAGGCTGATGCAACCATCATTATTTTTAAGCGGCTAAAATAGAAAACTGACCCTGATTGAGTCTTCCGGGGGCTATGTGGGCCCTCCTCTGTTACAGCCCCCCTGCCCTGGGAGTGGAAGATCTGGATTCTAATTCGTCTCTGTCCTAAGGCTCTGAGACTCGGTTACCACCATTGTCGAAGGGGGTCACTGATCCCTTCCCCGCCTGCCTCCCCAAGCTGCTGGGAGAGAGTCCAACAAGGTGGGTAGGGGGATGTCTTCAGAGACCTGGGAGTTAGGGAACAGCCTCTGAGCACTGCATTCATCAGCGTCCCCGCCTTGGGCCCTGGAGGTCACAGGGAAGGTCACCCTTGCTCTGAGTCAGGCAAAGGACACATCAGGAGGGGAGGACCCCAGCGGGGTGTGGTGCTCCTCGCTGCCAGTATGCAAGGGGCCAGCAGTCCCAGGCTGCCCAGCGGGGGTGGAAGTGGCAGCCTGGAAGCAAAGTATCCCTGCTTGGTTAATCTAAAAATAAACAGAAAGGCAACAAAATCTATGTTTCAATTACTGCACACAAGCTGTTCAAACAGCCAGCTCTGCACTGGAGATGTGAACTTGTCAACAGAGGCTGCCTCGTTTGCATGCTTGGGTGGTGATAAAACACACAACCTCGCAACAGGCTGCCCTCTGGTCTGGGCTTCTTTTTTTTTTTTAATTAAATTAAATTAAAAACACGGACATAGAATAAAGACGATGAAAATCTGAAGCAAACACATCAAGATAGGGTAGCAGCTCCCAACTTCAAAACAAAGAAGGCTGTGCGGTTGGAGACAGCCTGGTACTGAGGTCAGCAGGGGAGTGGGCAAAACAGGGCTCAGTGGCCAGGAACAGAGGACAAAAGTCTCTCCCAAGTGACCAAAAACGCCCCTTCCTTGGGGGTCGCTGCTGATCCTGGAGGAAGCTCCAGTGGGCAGTGTGAACCTCTAGTTCCCAAAGCCAAAGTCAAGGCCCCGGAGATCCCCTCTGTCGGGGAGAGATGGGCTATAGGCCAGCCAGCAGGGGCTCTGGGGGTGAGCCAGCAGGCTGCTTGCATGGCGGGCAGAGCTGGGACTGCCATCCTTGGCTGTGCTGCCTTTCGCCACCCATCTTAATTAGACACTGTCCTAGCTAAGACGCAGTCTCCTTTCTGATGAATGGGAAATGAATGGAACCCCAGGGAGCTGGGCCACCCTGGGGTTCTGGGTCTACCCTGGCCTACCCTGCCTGCTCCAGCCCAGCGTGGTCCCTCCCCTGCCCCCCAGGGTGTTTTTCCGTTTTATGGCTGTGCCCTCCTGAACAGCCCTCCCTCCCTGAAGGCAGGAGCTGTGCCCTGTTCTTATTTCCTCTCAGTATCTTGCACTGAGCCGGGTATAATGGGGAAGGAGGTGGGCAGTGAACTTGACATGATTTGATGAGAAAAGGGCAGATCGTGCATTAACCCAAGGGCATGCCTGGGGAATTGCTTGAGAGGGAAAGGGGGGCACGAAGGCCTGACTCATGGAGTGGAGCGCCAGAACAGGAAGTGGGCTACGTCATGGTTTCCTGGGGAGGGATTTGGACAAGCAGGAGGCCCCCCAGGTCCCACTAGAGATGGAGACCAGAAAGGTGGGCACTGGTGCTTAATGCTGGTGAAAGGTTCGTTCCACAAATCCTGCTCACTGAAGTGGCTGTCGGTTTTGCATTCACTCCGGACAGGGATGTTAATGTCCCCGGCCCTCGGAGCAATTCCGCAGCCGTCAACCCAGATGCTAGTTACTCGGTGAAATAAAAGAGTGGTCGAGTCTCTCCCGAGGAAGATAATATCCTGTCACAGGCAGTATGATCTGCCGGCCATGTGACAGCCGTTCCCTAATGTTTCCAAATAGACTTTTGAATAGACTCTTGTCTAGAAGAAAGCAAATTGCAAGAGCATTTTTGGCAGCCAAATAGAGAGAAGGCATCAGTCTTTCTTCTTTGCAACTCTTGCCACTGGGTCTGGCTCCAGGCACCGAGTAGGATTCATTCATCAGCTTGGGCCACTGATGAACACCATTTCCTGTGAAGAGGGAGCTTGTTGAATTAGTCAATTCTGCAAGATCTAGAATAATCAGGCATGCCTGAGAGGCGGCCCTGGGAGGGGGTAAGCCTGCTTGGAGAAGGAAAGTTACAGCAAAATCCATCTCAAAAGACTGGGATCGTGTGTTTGCAGGACTACAGGGAAACGGGGCTGGAGTTTTCAGTGTTTGCGTCCTTGTGGAGCCACGAGAACAAGCAGTTAGAAGGAGCCACATTGGTTATTCGTAATGACAACTCTGGTTGATGCTCCTCTACGTAATCAAATGGTAGCCACCACAGCTCCCTCATCGATCCTGATGTTTACAAGTTCCTAATTTATACACGCCTCCCTTCTTCCCTCAGTTTACGCTGATATTGTGTTGCCAACTGTCATTTCCAGTATCTTTTTTATTTTTCATTATCACCATTTTAATGATTTACACCAGGAGCAATAGCACAAATGCCTAGTCAATTAGTCCCACGAGAAAAGTCTCTGAATCGTGTGTGCTTTTTTGAAAAAAAAATCACTACATCAAAACCCACGGCCAGATTTTCTCAAAGCAAAGGTGCACATGGGAAGGGAGGGAAATGGGAGGCTTGTTCTTTTAATATTGTTCATCTAAAACGGGCACTAGTACTGCTTTTCCAAGACAGGGAGATTGCTTTTTGTGCAAGAAATGGTGCCCAGAAATGGAATCGGTGGCATTTTTCCTGAAACTTAACCACCAGAAAAGCATTTTGAACATTTGTCTTTTTAGATCATGTATTAAGCCCTGTCATTATGGAATATGGCTTTTTCCAAATATATATCTGTCCCCCAGGGCCATCTAGGGAGTCAGAATGCCTGGATCCTAGGGCCGAATCCAGGCCTGCTAACTCGCCAGATCTTAGGCTGGTGCGTCTCAAACTTTAACTTGCATGTGAGTGGATCCTGTCCCATTCCCCACCCCTCATCTTGTTAAAAATGCAGATTCTGACTCAGTAGTCCCAGGGCAAGGCCCAAGACTCTGCATTTCTCACAAGTCCCCAGGCGATGCTGTGGCTACTGGACTATGGACCACATTTTGAGTAGGGAGGAGATAGGCCACTATGCCCAGCCCTGGGCTTCACCCTCTTGCTTTTCCTGGGTTATAAAATGCGAAGGTCAGTGCTGGACTGCTTAACACCAGCAGGATGTTGTGAGGCAAATGATGTAGTGGCTCTAAAAGAACCTTGTGTGGTTAGGGCACTTCCCAGAAGACCTCCCCTCTGAGCAAAGGCTGAAGCACACAGCACAACCACAGTGCTGTTAATCACGGGTCCTGTGTTGTTACAGGGGCTCTCCAAATCCTCTTTGGCTTTGTGTAACTGAAACTTCGTGTCTTGAGACCAGCACCTCCCGTTTAAGTGCTCTCACTACAAAAGGAAAACAAGGCAGGAGCAGAGCGCAGAAGAAACTTCTGGCCATGCTGGCTGTGCGCGTGGCATTGATAGTGATGATGGTTTGATGGTTTGGGGGATGGGTATATTCCCAAACACATCAAGTTGTACACATTAAATATCTGCAGCTTTTTGTACATCAATCACACCTCAATAAAGCAGTTAAAGAAAAAAGAAGAGCCTTGTGAAGGGTGAGGACTTGCTGCTGCTGTCCTGGCCACTGTGGGGTGTTTAGGGTGAGGGTCCTTCCCATTACCCCTGGGACCAGCTGCACCCACTGCTGCTGAGGAAGATTCAGCTCTGCCAGACGTTCTTCCCTCAAAGCTTTGGACTGGCTGAGACCTGGGAACATGTGCAGGTTTCACTGGCATTGGAGAAAGCAGGCTCCCTGTCTTCTTTAAATATAAAGACAATGCCCTAAAGCCTTTGGTTCCAGAGATTGATGCCACCTGTGGTCCCCAGAGTGGAAGCAGACATCAGAGGTCACGGCTATAGCTCTGGTTTCTTTTCTTTTTTTTTTTTTTTTTGAGATGGCGTCTCACTGTGTCGCCAGGCTGAAGTGCAATGGCACAATCTCGGCTCACTGCAACCTCCGCCTCCCAGGTTCAAGCGATTCTCCTGCCTCAACCTCCCAAGTAGCTGGGATTACAGGAGCCCGTCATCACATCCAGCCAATTTTTGTATTTTTAGTAGAGACGTGGTTTCACCATGTGGGCCAGGCTGGTCTCGAACTCCTGACCTCAAGTGATCCACCCACCTCGGCCTCCCAAAGTGCTGGGATTATAGGCATGAGCCACCACTCCCGGCCACGGCTCTGGTTTCTAATGGGACTTGTCAAATCCCTGCCTCCCCTCTTTCCCCAGCCTGGAGATCCTGGTAGATGCTGCTCATTTGGGTTCAGACCCTGGACCCTGCAGCAGATGCTGCTGGAAACTTCTGGCTGCAAAGCAACAGGACCTGGTTAGGTGGTCTGCACACTGGCCCTGGCTGAGTGGGGCCTGATGGCGAGGTGGCTGGTGAGGACTGGGGGCCAGGATGGGAGTGGAAATGTGGCAACGAGAACCTTTCAGTTCACCTGGGGCCTTGATATTTTAAGAAAAGGAGCTAAAAATAAATCCACACCTTAGGTTCCTCATCCTAGAGTGGAACAGGAGAAGGCTGGCATCAGCCTGGGGCACTCCAGAGTTTCCTGGGTTTCTGCTGCCTCAGAAGATTTAAATGTGAGGCCTTGGGTCCAGGCTGGCACCTACACGTGGCCCCTGCAAACCCCACATTTCATGTCCACTTGGAGGTGCCGAACACCTCACCCCCTGAGGAATATGTCACTCTCAGAGGCTGTGTGAAGGGCCAGGGCTAGATGGTGAGGCGTAATTTAAGGACTCATCTCTTTCAGGGCAATATAAATGCAGACGGACCTTGATGGGGGGGCCTCCATACATTTTGGCCCCACCTGTCACTCTTCTCAGCCTAGTCCCAGCCCCGCCATGTGCCCCGTGCTGGGAGGGTCACTTTGGTCTGCCAAATGTTCCCTGAGCCCCCTGCCCCGGATGCCCAGCCCTGTGCTCGGGCAGCTCCAGTGGAGGAAACGAAGGGGGAAAGGTGGCCCTGTCTTTAGGGACGGGATCAGAACTCACACAGGGAGTAGAACATGCCAGTCCGTCGCTGGGGTCCTAGGCCTTTTGAGTCTGGCTTCTATGGGCTCTGAGAAGAGAGGGCGCATCAAAGAAGGCATCCAGCAGAGGAGGCCAGTGTGGGACTCACCCCTAGCCTCAGCCAGAAGCAAGACTTCTGAGCTAATGGGGGCTCCATGGGGCTGGGGGTCACTGGGGGCTGGAGCAGCCCCAGGAGGCAGGGAGGCATTTCCGAAGGGCATCCCCACCTCCCGCTAACATCCACGTCAAGTCGTGGCCAAGCCGCCTCTCCAGAAACACCCAGAGAGTTCCTTTGTGTTGCATTTGCCAAGATGGTGTTCTGGCTGCTGTTTAGTATTTTGCTCCAGAAGAAAGGCTAAAAGATGCAGAAAGGGAAACTAAAATAATAAAGACAAGCACAGACTGTTCCAATCGACTTGGCAGCACGTCTCCCCCAAATGAGGCAATCATACATTTTCTGATCGGGGCCGGCCGGGCCGAGGCTCATTCCTCAGCCAGCCACCTCGGCTTCCCTATCTGGAGACAGCGCGGGTCCCCTGCCTTCCTGTGGATTAATCATGCCTTCGGGGCCCTCACAGCCGGCCGCCCACTCCTTCGGCGTGTCTTAATGATAGGAACGAGGAAAGGGTCATTAGCCACCTGTGATCCTGTGTACAGTGTGTACACATGGTGCATGTTAATATGTGTGGGCCGCCACCAGCAGCCAGAATACTGTGTGTCACCGGACACAGATGGCCTCCATCCCGCCCATGAGCTCAGGTGCACGAAGCATCCTGTTCCTGAGCAGGCACTCTCCGGGCCCAGGGCTGAGGGCTGCTGGACACTGTTCCCTCTGCTCCAGCCCCACATGGACAATGCAAACACACAGAGGCTCATGGCGACTCTTAATTATTTACTCATGAATTATTCATGGTGAGGGTTTTCCAGGTGGGTCTGCGTGGCAGGGCTGCCGATCCGATCTCCAGCAAGTGTCCAGGAGTCCGACACCGCCCCCCAACACACCAGCTGGTGAGCAATTAGAAACACAGTCTGGGCCTGGGGCACCAGGATTTCCTTCCTGCAATATCCTCAGGCCCCAGGTAGCCCAAGCCTTTTGCAAGCCTGGGCCTGGGACATGAGGGCACTTGAGCCACAGGGAGAAGCTCTTCCATCAAGGCAGGCCCTGGGGCTAGTGACACGAGGTCCCCTGTGTCGTGGGTATTTATGGAGGATGACCTCCCCCCCCCCCTCAACTTGTGTCTCCCAGTGTCCCTGAGTGAGACCACCCTACAGGATCCTGGCTGACCTAGCACAGAGGGCCTCGGGAGCTGTGCATGTTTGCAGACACCAGGCCACACACACTGCTTCGGATTTGACTGTGTCTTTTTCCTCATCCCAGTAAACCTGCCCAGTTCCTGTTGAGACATGAGGGTTCTAGGGACAGGCAGTGGGAGAAGCCTTAGGAGGGAGCCAAAAGTCAGGGGCTGAGGCTACTTTGTCATCTTTATTTTGATCCTAGTTAAGACCCACCTGCCTCCTGCAAGGGAACAGAAGGAGCCCCTGGGGACAGGGTGGCCCATCCCTCATTCCTGCCTCTCCCAGGTGCTCTGGCACCCCATGATGCTGACCATGCTGAAGATTTGGCCCCATGTGCCAACAGGAAAGGAAGTGGCCAGTTTCCATTCATTCCCGAGGAACGGGCAGCCTGAGGGGAGGTTCGTCTGTGGAGGTGTGAGGTCAGGGCTCTGTCAGGTGGAGGACACTTTTTGGTGAGCAGGTGAGTCAGCAGGTGAGCCCACGCCTCATCCCTCAGAAGTAGGGAGATGGCAGGAATACACCCTTCACCGTCTCCTGGAGATAAGTGATGGGAGGGAAAGACCTTTCTGGCAGGGCCGGGGATGCTGTTGGGCACACCCCAGCGCTGGCCTCTGCCCCACCTCCTCTGAGAGATGATCCGAATTGTGAGGCAGTTGCACTTGACCATTGGGATTTTCCCCAGAGCTGGTGGATGTGGCATTGCTGCATTTGGTGATGCTGGGGGACCTTGTCCTAAGGTTTGGGGTGCACCTGTGTGCATTGAGACGCCAGCATGTGGCTCTGAAGGGGGGACTGGATTGCAGCAGGATCAATGACCGAACATTCCAAGAAGTGCTTCTGCCTGTCAGGAGCTCCCAGTGACGTGTTCCCTCCCTTGTTCACATTTGCTCCGGTTCTGTGAGGAGGTCTTCCACTTCCCCTCTCTGCTCCCTGGAGGTGGGGAGGTGCATCACAGAGAAGGCAGCGGGGAGCCTGACAGCCTGAGCTGGCTTCCTAAGTTGTGTGTGCAGTGTCCAGGCTCCAGACTTGAATCTGGGCTCAGAGCTGGGAAACCGAAGCCTGATGTCTGTCCCAGACTGCTACGAAGATGACCCCCCTCGCGGAGGCGCAGGCGTGGTGTTGACTGGCAGGCTCTGTGCACAGGGGAGACTTCAGGAGGCCAGGCATGGTGGCTCACACCTGTAATCCCAGCACTTTGAGAGGCCAAAGTGGGCGGATCACTTGAGGCCAGGAGTTTGAGACCAACCTGGCCAAAATGGCGAAACCCCATTTCTACCAAAAAAAAAACAAAAAAAATACAAAAATTAGCGGGTGTGGTGATGGGTGCCTGTAATCCTGTAATACGCAGGAGGCTGAGGCAGGAGAATCGCTTGAACCTGGGAGTTGGAGGTTGCGGTGAGCTGAGATTGCATCACTGCACTCCAGCCTGGGTGACAGAGCAAGACTCCATCTCAAAAAAAAAAAAACAGAAAGACTTCAGGGTTCTGCCCTCCTCCCCTCCCGTCTCCTGGCCAGCATCGGCTTTGCTGCCTGCAAGATCCCAAAGGCCAGAGCCAAGTTGGCACATAAAATACCTGTGAGGCCTTTCACATTTCACCCACGACTAGCACCAAACTGTCTCTACCCTGCACCTCAGCGTGGCCTATTTCCACCCGTGAATACAAGATTTTTCTAGCCTCTAGAGCATTTTCTTCACATGTGCATGTAATTTAAACAGGTGCTAGCAAAGCACTAACCCCACCCAGGTTCGAGTCCTAGTGTCTTTGTAAACGGTCCCCTCCATACAAAGGGATGGCTGCTGCTCAGCCTGCTCTGTCCCCCTTGGTGAAGGGCCCTGTGCCAGGCTCTGGCAGTTCACGGGCAGCCTGCCAGGAAAGGGGGCTCACCTTGACAAGGAAGCTTTGTGATGTGTTTTGTCGGTAATTGCTTGACCAGTCTCGTCTAACGTACCTCATCCATTCCAGGCCTCCTTCTGCCACAACTAGCATTTCCTGATGCCTCCCTCAACACCGCTCTGGGCACACATGTATGCCCATGGGACCTTGTGACACACTGGCTCGGTGCCCAGCAGAAAATATTTAAGTTGCCACCTTTGGTCCTTTAACTGTGCCGTCTCACTCAGGGTAAACCGTGCAACTCCTTTCTTTCATGACGTTTGAAAGGGGAAATTAAATTGAGGAATGAAGTCTCACCGAAAGGCTGGCATGCAAATTCTTGACCTTTGTTTTGAGTACACGTAATGAGGCTGCAACTAGATTTCAGGCTCCAGGCCCGGAGTCTCCATCTCCTGCCTGGCATTTTAAGGAGACTTGAGGAGCTGAGCATCAGGGTGGGGGACGGGAGTGGTGGGAGGTGCGGGGTGCTGGGGCCTGGGCTTTGCTTTCATTCACCAGAACTGTAAGGCGCGGGCATGGCATGGCCCAGCAGGTGGTCCCCAAGGCAGAGAGTGGAGAGGTTTTACTGGGGCCTAGGAGACCCCTTTGACCTGATCCCAAGCACATCTAGGCATGTCTCAGAGGGGCCGGGTTGCTGGCCGCCCTCAGTGCGTACCCTCCTCACCTCCATCCTCCCCAGCTGGAAGGAGATGGCTTCTTTGGCGATATGTGAGGTTGTGTTGTTTTGTAGGAAGGTAGGGACTGATTTATCACATCAGTCAGGCCAGGCTAGGCTGTGCTTAGGTAACACATAGACTGCCAATTTCAGTGCCTTATCACAACAAAGATTCACGCCCCCAGTATGCAACATCCAGTGTGCGTAGGGAAACGCTCTTCCATCAGATGGTGGCACCATCTGGAACATGTGGCCTCCAAGGTTGCCATGACGAGCGAAGGGAACTGAGGGTCATAGATGTTTGCAAAGGGCCAGGTCTGGAAGTGGTCTCCATCACCTCCCCACCCATCCTATCCGCCAGACTCCAGACACAGGAGCCCAACTTAACTGCAGTGGCAGCTGGGAGAGTTCCTCCTTGTGCCCAGAAAGAGGACATACTGTGGTGAATACATAACATCCTCTCTGCCACATTAGGATCCAACCCTAGGGATGCAGTGTCCCTGAGGCAGTGATGATCACGAGCCCCTTGTTGGCAGGTGAACCTTGGGAGAGGCGTCTACACTGTGAGCCCCAGCTGACCTCGACATGCAGATATTCTCCATTCAGGCCTGTCCTTCAAGGTTCGAGGTCTGATTTACTAGGACTGTAAGACATTTTCTCTTTTTTTTTTTTTCTTTGGTCTCACTCTGTCACCCAGGCTGGCGTGCAGTGGCACGATCTCGGCTTACTGCAACCTCCACCTCCCGGGTTCAAGTGATTCTCATGCCTCAGCTTCCTGAGTAGCTGGGATTACAGATGCACACCACCATGCCTGGCTAATTTTCGTATTTTTTTGGTAGAAATGGGGTTTCACCATGTAGGCCAGGCTGCTCTTGAACTCCTGGCCTCAAGTGATCCTCCCACCTTGGCCTCCCAAAGTTCTGGGATTACAGGCGTGAGCCCCCACGCCCAGGCTAAGGTAGGATGTTTTCTTACTCCAGCACCTACGTGGAACTTCCAGTCAGGAGACTCAGCGTTTCTTTCTGTGTCTGAGATTTTCTCTTCACACAAATGTGTTTGTCCTCTCTGGAAGTGCTCAGCAATGAAGAAAAAACAAGCATTAGTTTATTGATTCATTCAGCACACAGGTACTGAACACCCTTCTTTGCCAGGCACTGTTCAAGTTGCCGGGGTCACACAGAGAATGAGGACCCAAACCCTGTTCTCAAGGTAGCAGATAGACAGCAGCCGTGGCTGCAGGGAGGGCGGGCACCATTTGCTCAGGGGACTGGATGAGAGTCTCTCACCTGACCCAGAAGGGGAAAAGTAAGTTCAGGGTTCTAGAAGAATTGGTGCCTGAATTGGGTGGGTCATAGGCTGTAGCCGGGGGAGGGTCGGAAGCCATTCCTGGCAAAAGAGCAGCGTGGACTTGGACCCTGAGCTGAAAGGGGACATGAGGCTTCAGAAACCATAAGGCATTTGGAATGATGGGCCATGGTCTCTGGGGTAGGACGGGATGAATGAGAGGGGATGCTAGAAAAGGGAGCCCGCCCAGATCCTCTTCTGGGCCACCACGAAGAGTTGGAACCTTATATTGATGGACAGGATTTAAAGCAGGAAAGTAAAGTGTCATGATCATATTTGCCCTTTGCAAAACTCCTGTGGGCAGTTGGGTAGAGAATGGCTGAGAAGGGCAAGACTGGGGGCGGGCAGGCAGGCAGGCAGGCGAACTGAAATAAGGAGACACTGGGAGACAGTGATGGAAGGTCGTGGCTGCAGATGGAGAAGGGGGTAGATTTGACAGCAACTGAGGCAGAGGAATCTAAGACCTGGCTGTCGAACAGGGGAATGGAGATGAGGAGATAGAGGCGGCTTTCTCTGAGAGAGGGAATTCCTGAGGATGGGTGTTTGGGCGAAGGAACATTGCGCTAATTTAGCAACTTTGGGCGTTTAGGTACCTGTGGAACAGCTGGGGGAAGGTGTGCGGCAGGCTGCAGGGAGGTGGGGGTGGTGCTTAAGAGAGAGGAGAGCTGCAAAGGTAGCCTTGGGAGTTATCCAGAAAGAGGGGATGGAGGGATGAGATCATCCGGGGAGAAGAGGAGGAGGAGATCTGGAACCCGGAGGAGCCCCAGCTTTTTAAGAATGAGCTGAGGAAGAGGAGCCCGCCAAGGAGACTGAGAAGGAGCAGCCGAGAGGGAGGCGGAGGGCTGGGAGAGGGCTGGCATCACAGAAACTGCAGAGGAGGGTTCCGGAAAGCAAGGAAGATCAGCCACGTCGCAAGTGAGGGAAGTTGAGGACAGCGGCATAAATGTCCCCTTGGATTTAGCGAGTAGGTCACCCATGACTTCAATGAGAACAGTTCCCATGGA
The DNA here is from genome assembly GCF_000001405.40 of Homo sapiens. Classification (NCBI taxonomy): domain Eukaryota; kingdom Metazoa; phylum Chordata; class Mammalia; order Primates; family Hominidae; genus Homo; species Homo sapiens. Next base: position 23,560,098 of record NC_000002.12, read on the forward strand.
GTGGCCAGGGCGAAGGCCACAGCGGAGCAGGTCACAGAGTGAACAGGACGAGGAAACTGGAGCTAAGTTTAGACAATGCCATCAAGAAGTTCAGCCGAAAAAGTTTATGTGGGGAGATCAAAAGGGAATGGATTTTTATTTTTTAACCATGTAATATTGGATAGGCTTTTTTTTTTTTTTTTTTTTTTTTTTGAGACGGAGTCTTGCTCTGTTGACAGGCTGGAGTGCAATATCGCGATCTCAGCTCACTGCAACCTCTGCCTCCCAAGTTCAAGTGATTCTCCTGCCTCAGCCTCCTGAGTAGCTGGGACTACAGGCACGTGCTGCCACTCCCAACTAATTTTAGTGTTTTTAGTAGAGATGGGGTTTCACTGTGTTGGCCAAGATGGTCTGGATCTCTTGCCCTTGTGATCCGCCTGCCTTGGCCTCCCAAAGTGCTAGGATTACAGGTGTAGGCCACTGCATCCAGCCTGGATAGACTTTTTAAAAAGAATTTTTGTGTCATGGTGTAAGCCAGAAAGCATAATGGTGAAATAAACAGTGACACCACATCCAGCTGAAGAAGTTATGGTCAGCTCTGTTTCAGGCGGGGCTGCAGGCTTCACCTGGGCTGCAGGGTGGGTTCAGGTCTGCCCAGTGTGCCTGGCAGAGGGGATGATGGCCACCAGGGCACAGGCCAGCATGCAAGTAGAACATGGGTAGGAGGCTGCTTGGGTTGGGCACAGGCCCTGGCTCCATGGCACTAGAAGTTGACAACTAGGTCTGGATGTGCAAAGTCTGCAGTAAGAACAGGCTTTATAGATAGATATTTTTAAAATAAAGTGGCCCGTCTGTCCACTGGCCAACAATTCCAGGGTGCCTCCCCAGGGCTGAGCTGGACTGGCAGGATAGGAAAAGGAGCTGGGAACCCGGACCTCCGGGGACTCACCCCCAGACTGGAAAACAGTTGGAGAATGGAAAAGGCCAAAGGCAACCAAGCTGTGCCTGAGCCATGCCCAGGGCTGTGGGTGTGATGCAGACCCCTACCCTAACCCACCACCACTTGTGCCCTGGCACTGCCATGCCCTCTCCCCTCTGTCTCTGCCTCTCCATGGCCTCTGAGACCGACAGCTTCCCCTGCGTCTTTACAGCGTTCTTGACCGAGAGTAACACCAGGCCCTGGATGGGCAGGGAACCAGGCAAGTCATGGTAATACTGAGCAAAATGCAATCTTTGGTGATTCAGAAGCCCTTCCAAGTATCATGGTGTGTCCAGGTCTCCATGACAACATGGAAGGGCCTTATGCTCAGAGGCTCAGGAGAGCTGTGTGGGAGATAGTCTGGTTAACAGAGGCCAGGGTACTCCGGGTCTCTGATGCCGCCCGAGATCAAATCATAGGGCTGTGATTATGAAAGGGAACTCAACTCCTGGAGGCTAACACCCTTTGCGACTTGAGTTGTGCATTTAGCTAGGATCTAAAGGCTGGGGATCCTGGACTCTTTATCACTTTCTAGTACTCGAACCTCAAGGGATAACTTATTCTCAGTGAGGTCCCTCGACCCTCAACTGGGAACCATCCATGCCCTGCCGCCTCACAGGCTACTGTAGGAGGAAGAGAGATTTATGTAAAGGGCTTTGTCCACTATAAAGTGAGTCTGCACACGTGGGTGGCCGCATCCTATCACGTGTTGGAGGAAAACACGTCCTGAGGAGTTCACGGCTCTTTTTTCACGGTGGGGTGGGAGGGGATAAAGTCCCATCCATAATTAAAATATGCACATTTGTGTCATTCAGGGCAGTGAGATGTGGCAGAACAAACAGTATCACTTTTAACTGTGACTGGGTTCAAATCCTGCCTACTTACTTTGGCCACGTGATCCTGGGCAAATTGTGTATTCCTTGTCTGTGAAGTGGGGCTAATTAATGATCCATGCTTTGTGGGCTAGCGTGACTCTGAAATGAGCTAATGTTTGAAGGCCTGTTATTGAACCCAGAGAAGGGGCTTCATGGATGCTGTCAGTTGTCGCTGCCTGCTCCAGTCCTAAATCACCCTTCTCTCCACCCTGTCACCACAGGTCCGGGCTCTGTTTCCCTGTGAGAAGCCGCCTCGGCCCACCGAGATGTCCCGGCACCATAGCCGCTTCGAAAGAGATTACCGGGTGGGCTGGGACCGCCGCGAATGGAGCGTCAACGGGACGCATGGGACCACCAGCATCTGCAGTGTCACCTCGGGGGCCGGTGGCGGCACAGCCAGCAGCCTCAGCGTCCGGCCCGGCCTCCTGCCGCTGCCCGTGGTGCCCTCCCGGCTGCCCACCCCGGCTACAGCTCCTGCTCCCTGCACCACCGGCAGCAGCGAGGCCATCACCAGCCTCGTGGCCAGCTCTGCGTCTGCGGTCACCACCAAGGTAAGATGTGGTGTCATCTCTGAGCAGGAGCCGGACAGAGGGGCCCTGCCTCCCTGCAGGCTCAGGCCAGCCCCACAGGCTCCTGTGGGGCAGCCTGTGCTCCACGCCCCGAGTCCTCCAGAGTCTTGTCCTTCCAGGACCTGGGCCTGGAAACTGTTTGCGAGCATTCATGCGGGTTTTATTATCCATGAAGTCTTTCTCTGTGACTAACTTGTAGGAAGACAAGCAGGTGCTGAGGCCACTCATTGTCCTATGCCATGTTGATTAGATGCTATTAATGAGTGAAGTAACAGTGGACCTCCAAGATGGCAATATGGGGTTCCTAAATAGATAAATTGAGACCATGCAAGCATCCCTGGGGGTGCCAGTAACTTGGGTGTGCAAGAAGATACTGACAAGCAGTAACAGTCATAAAGGGTGATAAACCCACACTTTATTAACCACTGGGCCTCGTGTTCTCATATCCGTTGTCTCTTCTGAGCCTTGCCACAGCACGGTGAGGTCAGTACTTTTATCATCCCTGCCTTACAGTTGAGGACACTGAGGCACAGCAAGGGCTCAGTAGGCCTTCTAAGGGCTGGTCCAAGGCTGTGGGACCTTTCTGCAGAGGACCCAGGACTTGTCCCCACAGCTGGCTTCAGGGATGTCAGCGCCAGGTCATTCCCGTTTCTTTCAGAAGAGGTGGCTCCAGCCTTGGGAATGGCAACAGAGGCCAACCTGTGTTGCTGAATGGAATGTGGAAAACAGTGTTGCCAAGGCTCTTGCTTGGCCTTGGGCTGAGCTCGTCCTCCATCGTGCTGGCTGCTCGGAGCCCCTCAGGCAGCCTGAGTCCTGGAGGGCCGGGCCCCTGGCCATGGCTGTGGTAGGAAGGCCATCGGTCCCCATCCTGCTTCCTCACCGAGCAGGGGCTGTGCAGGCTGCCTTTGCCTCTGCTGGCCATTCGGAGCTGCCTCCCAGGAGCCCCCTTGGGGCAGTGTCCGTGTACATGCGTGTATGTGCCTGCATGCGTGTGTGTGTGCATGAGTGTATGTGTGTGCACATGTGTGTGTGTCTAGGCTTTTCTTTTCCTGCTTTCAGAAAAGTTGCCAGAGAAGTTAAAGGCGGGGAGCCCCAGCCCGGCCATTGTGAGGTGGCTGTGGTGCTGGAAAGCCGCGCTCCAGGTGTGCTGCGCCTTTGTCTCCTGGTTTTCAAAACTCCCTTTCAGCCCTGCTTCCCATTAATAACTGTGAGTGTTGCCGGCCACAGAGCCTGGCAGAGGCTGAGACAATGGAGCTATTGGAGGCTGGCTCGGAGCGCACTGACATCTTGCTGCAGTGCCTTATTGATTTTATTTTCCTGTTATGAAAACACCACCCCACTGAGGCGGGGAGGGAAAGAATGTTGGACAGGGGAGAGGAGATGGAGGATTATTTGGGCACGCTGCCCCCAGGCCAGCCAAACACATTCCTCCCCTGGGCGCCAGCCCGAGCGCTGGTCTGACTCAGTGACCTCTGCCCAGTAGGGCCAGCCGCTGGACCTGCTGGCCACATCTGGCAGGCGCTCTGCAGGGCCAGCTGTTGGCCATATGGAGAATGGCAGCCGCTGGAACCGACTGCTCGGGGCTCCAGGTGGGAGAGAGAGGCTGGGCCCGGAGGCCGTCTTGAAAGTGTCTGTCCTTTTAAGGATACATGCCTTTGTAGGGATGGTGTTGGGCTGCTCTGGGGGATGAAGTGGAGGGGCTCGGTGCTGGGGCTCCCCCACAGGGCTGTGCTGCCTGCAGAGCTCCCGCTTTGCTCCAGAGTGGCTTGATATTCACCATCCTTGACTGGCCTGATCCCAAACCACAGCCACATGAGAGGAAGGGAACCCAGTCTCAGACAGAAAACAACAGCTGGGGCAAGGACTGGGCAGGGTGGCCAGGAGGGGGAGAGGGGGCGAAAGTTCATTCCTGTGAGGACAGCCCGCTCCTTGGCATGTCACAACAGAGGAACTGAATTCTGCCTCCAGCCCGGCCTGTTTCCTGCAGGGGCTTGTTTGATTCCCCGGATTAAGCCCTGGTCCCTTGGTGCCCAGGAGCACTGGGTGGGGGGAAGGGAGGACAGCAGTGCTGGCTTCCCGAGCACCCCTGGCAGATTTGGGCCACAGTGCCTTCCCGCCGTTCTAGCCTGGCTCCTGCCCACCCAGAGGCCTGTCCCCTAGCCTATGTGTCTGACCCCGTGCCAAGACCACATCAACTGATGGGCAGGCCCGGGCCCAGGTATTTGCGGTTTCCCCGGTCAACAATGTGGGTCTTTACTGAGCAGGCAAGAGCTGGCTGGCTCTTGCCCTCGGGGAGCTCACGGCTCCTTGTGTATAACAAATCTGTGGCCTGGACAGTGTGACCAGATGACCCAAGAATGTCTCTCCCCCTGAAGTTATTGGCAGGGGAGGCCTAGTGCAGTGGCTACAGCCAGACTTTGGAGACAGACTGCCTGGATTTGAATTCCCTTCTACCGCTTGCTATCTGAGTGACCCTGGACAGGTTACCTAACCTCTCTGGGCGTCACTTCTGTAAAATGGGAAGAGGTCGTTGTACTTGCGAGCAGAGTTGTTGTGAGGACTGTGTGGGTTAAAACCTGTGTGAAGTGCTCAGAACAAGACAGAACCTGGCATGTGGTATTTCGAGTCTCATATTGGTGCTGACCTCCTCCTATCACCGCTGTCACTGTCATCCAGGTGAGGCCTATGGGACAAGGCTCTACCCTCTTAGGGAAAGGTGTTCATGTCCTTTTTTTTTCTTCTTCAGTAGAGATGGGGTTTCACCATGTTGGCCAGGCTGGTCTTGAACTCCTGACCTCAAGTGATCCACCCACCTTGGCATCCCAAAGTGCTGGGATTACAGACGTGAATCGCCGTGCCCAGCCTGAAAGGTGTTCCTTTCTAACCTCACCAAGAGGAAAAGGCAGGTCTTCAGATAAGACACAGCAGCCAGGCCCCAAGAAAGCAAGGAAAGGAAAGAGCATCTCAAACCTACCCCTTGGCTGGGACTCCAGATGCTCCGTAGGCAAGAGGGAGCTGGGGGGAAGAGGCCGTCTAGCGGGCTCCAGACCGAGACTGGTAACAGCCAGGTGACCAAGGGAAGGGAGTTTAAAGCTTTTTTCAGCTGTGGCGCCCTTTCCTCTAGGGAAAGCCCATTGTGGAAACAGCTGAAACTGCACTCCAGTGGATGGTGGGGTGGGTGGGCGAGGTTGGCCGGGTAGAAGCCAGGAGCAGAGCTGTGTCCGAGCTCACCAGAGTGTGGGGACAGCTGCTGGAATGTATCCACCGGGCTTCCTGGGTGAAGGGTCTAGAGCCACATGTGGACCAGAGCCACCCTCGGAAACTCAGCAACTGTCCCTGAGGAAAGTGACTGGGGGACTAGTGTCAGTACTGTGAGGCCTTAGTGTCCCCTCTTGGCTAGGCAGTGCGCAGGGTGAACATCACGTGCCCTGGGGGCTGGGGCATCCCATGCCATCACCCTCCCCACCCAGCCCTGTGGGCCTGGTCACCTTCCCAGGCAGGGGCCGGCTTCTGCCAGGCTCTTTGGGTGAGGAGGCTGGCTGTGCTCCCAGCAGCTGGCCGGTGAGGTGATGACAATTCTTTCTGTCACTGCTGCCTTCAGGCCTGAGTTGGTTTTTCTACTTCTTCATTTGTCTGTGGCCTAAAGATTCCTCACGTGTCTTGAGGAAAGGCCAGTTGGACAAGCAGACTCCTGGGCTGCTGAAGTACAGGGAGGGTCTGGTGGGCTCCCCCAGCCCCGCAACACACACTCATGGCTCAGACCAATCAGCAGCCTCCCCAGGACACAAGTTCCAAGAGCCTAACAGGAGCAGAGTGACCACGTCCTCCAGCCCCTCATTCTACAGGTCACAGTAGTGAGGCCCAAAGAAAATGTGGCCTGCCAAGGTCACCCAGTGAGTTAGAATCAGAACCAGCCTGGGCCAGCTCCTCTTCCCACTCCAGGCTGCCTGGTAGAGCATTCACCATGGTAACCATGATTGCAGCATTGTTATGGTAACTTTTCCATCTGCTCATCCACCCAGCTGATAGCAAGCAAGAGATTTCAGGCCAGAAAGTGGGCACATTTACCTCTGTGGTATAGGTGAGAAAATTTAAGCCAAAGGTTATGTCAACTCAGCATTTCACCACTGCTAAGAGCTTCAAGCTTTTGAGTCTGACAGCACTGGGATTGAATCCTAGCTCCGCCACTTAGAAGCTGAGTATGTCTCTGAACCTCAGTTTCTTTGTCTCTAAGAATTGGGAATAATCATAGAATCCTCCTCATGGGGATGATGTGAGAACTGGTTAAATTAATATGCATAGAAAAGCTTAAAACACTACCTGCCATTTGGTAAGCACTCGATAAAAGTTAATTTTAGAAAGATAAACCATTGACTGGGTCTACCCAGTTATTCATACATTTGCGGGGAAACCTGTCCCCCCCTGGTGGTTGGTGCTGGAGGCTGAAGAAAGGTGCATTGGCCTGTCCCCATCCCCTGTCTGATGTGGCATGAGGTCATGCTAAGGAACTGGGATGGCATCCCATCCCTGGCCCACCACTGTGTGTCTGGGCTGTAAATGGTCAGGACCGCAGGGGCAGGGTGCTCCTGAGAAGCAGAACTGCGACTCCACTGCCAGGCCTGTTTGTGGGCCTGAAGGGAAGCCCCAGTGCCCCACAGTTGCTGCTGCATGAAATTTAAATTATTCTCAGCAAACCTGCTTGACAGATGAAACAGAAAAGGGACGGCTTCATAAAATGCAATTTTGTTCCTGAAAGAATGGACTCTGCAGAATCCTCGCTGATGTCTGTGAAATGTACTGGGAGCTTTTTTTCCTAGTGGTCAGGAGCACTCATGCTGAAACATTCCCATCGTCCCTCAGAGCTAAGCCCTTGAAAATAAATCTAGCTGGGAAGCAGAGCGACTTCGCCTGTGTCGGAGGCCCGAGAAGAACCAAAAGGGGCTATGAAATCTGCAGGCTTCATCGTCAACACTCAAAACACCCGGGTTTTGACATTTATGAGCATTTAGGGCTATCGGGGTGGATATGTGTCATCATAGAGACAACGCTGGAGATGATATCTTCCCCATGCGCTCCAGCTTCTCTGGAGGAATGCTCCCCTTGGGGGAGATGATCTGGGATTTCCGTGGGGATCATGTGAGTGACCGCAGGGCCAATGTGGCAGCCCCTCCTGTTGTGTGCTTCTGGGGCCCATGAATGGAGAGAGGATGCTTTTGCACAGAACTCTCATTCCTCTTGTATTCACATTGAAAATCGAAGGCTGCCTTGCCGAGTGGGCTCAGTTGGGAGAATCATTCAAGCCCCTTTCACCGTGAATTTCCAGACTGCAAGTGATTTTATCCAGAAGACTGTTGCTTTCTCCATGAACAAGAACTGTGATTTGCCTTGTGATAAATTATCAGGGAACAATAACACATTGTGAGATAACACAACCTGTGCATGTTAGTACTGAGCTAATGGGTTTTGCCTGTACCTTAAGTCGCAATTACAGTTTGATTGTGTATTCATTGACTTACAACCCACCTGTCAGTCACAAAGTGTGTACAAAATTGAAAAATGTCATGATTTTCAAAGCACCCATTTCAGAGCCTGCAGTTTGGGCTGAGTGGCCCGAACTTAAATTTCTGATTAAGGAGGCAAAAAGAGGGAAGAAGATGTATTTTGCCACACTTGTAAGAGACGAGCCTTAGTCTGGGCAAAAAAAAAGTCCATACACGGATTCCAAAATAAAGATATCAGAAGACTTCATTGACTGGAGCCAGTTGTGTATGTAAGTTAGCTTTTGCTGCTTGATAATACCCCCAAAACCTGGGGTTTTAAAGCCATAACGGTTCTGTGGTTTGACTGGTCAGTACTGGTCTGGGCTGGCTCAGCTGATCTCTGCTAGGCTGTCTCATTTATCTGTGGTCTGCTGTAGGTTGGCTAGTGGCTGGATGATCAGGGTTAGTCTCACACACCTGTGGTTGGCCAACTGTTGGCCAAGGTGCCTCAGTCCTTTGTGGCCTGTCATCCTCCATCCAGCTAGCTCAGGCTTATTCACCTGGTGGTCTCAGGGTACCAAGAGCAGCAAGAGAGCAAGGTCCATGCACAGATGCTTTTCTAACCTCTTCCTGAGGCATGTTTGCTAAAATCCCACTGGCCAAAGCAGGAGGCATGGCCAAGCCAGATTCAAGGAGTGGGCAAAGAGACCCCACCTCTTGATGGGAGATACTGCAACACCACATTGCAAAGGGACAGGCATCTAAGGTTGGAAAGAATTGTGATCATTTTTGCAATCTACCCATGGAGTGTTCCCAGCATGTTTGTTTAGGCATAGTCACTCACCCTTCAGTTCTGGCCAAGGCTGGCATGCCTCAGGCAGAAAGGATTACTCTCTCATATGGCCTGGTATAGATGTGGGACACTCAGGACCCACGTACATCTATCTACTCAGAGAACTGGCTAATGAGGTTTAAAAGAAGACACCCAGCAAGGATTGTGCTGCTAGGGAACAGACTGTCCAGTTGGCTCTCAGGGGATCTCGCAGGTACACTGACCTTGGCTTCTAAGTTCAGAAGCTCCAATGCTTGATCCTGTCACCACTCCAGGGTTAGTGGGACTGGAACACTGCTGTCCCCAGGACATGCAGAAGGACATATGCTAACCTACTGATTTGGAATTTAAAAATCACCCCAAGGAGGCCACCTTCGGGGACTTTGACCAGAGGCTTTCTCCCTGTGAAAATCCACTTGGGAAAACAAATTCTGATGGGGAGACTTCCTAATGAGTCTGAAATCAGGAAAGGGAGCCTGTTACATGATGCAGTATTCGGTAACCACAGATTCGGACAGCCTAGTGCCTCTTTCTCCCTAATAGGATAAATCCTGTGCAGTTCCCCAAAAGCCCTCAGAAGGGCCTCTTCTTAAATTAAGTTAGGTTTTCTGCAAAGAGCATCACTCAAGATGAACATAAATCTACTTCTTACTCAGTTCTAATGGTTTTCCCTGTTTCGTTTAATTACTCATGTTGCAATTAAACAATTTTTTTTTCCCTTGAGAAAGGACAGTATTTTAGCTACATTATGGGTTAAATAGGCTTTGGAGAACTAGACTGGGAGTCTCATCACCATTTATAACATTTTTTTTATAGGGAAAGTATGTTCCAAAATCTAAACAGCCAAATTACAAATGAACTTTCAGAACCCAACCCATTTGTTAACTAGGAACCGTCTGTAATGCTAAAAATAACTTGAAGAAATAAACATAAAAAGGAGAGCTTAATGCATCTCAGGATCATTTATCTACCATCAGCCCCTACACAGTTAGCTTGATTTCATTGAGGGAATGTCCTCAATGAAACCAGACTGACCCTATCCTTGTTCTTCTTACTTTCATGGTACGGCCAGCCAGACTGGCCTAAGCCTTCGAAAAGCACAATGCCATGGGGAAGAGGCATCGTGGAAGTCTCTGCAGAGAGGAGCTGATGTAACTTAATGGATTACCAGTCAGTTTCAACACTCCATTTGCTGCCCTAAAAGGAAGGTTTAGGAGAATTCCGTGTACTGCTCCGGCTGCTGTCTCAACTAGTCGTGGCATATTAATTTTCATTGTGAATCTGCCTCTCTAGAACCCGTAGGCAAGAAACCTCATTTTCCTCTGGTAAATAAAGAGCCCTGAGAACTGAGCAGAGCGAGTGGGCCAGGCATCTGTATGCACTCAGAGACTGCTGTCACATGCCTTTCCTATTGATGGCAGCAAAAATCTGCATGCCTAGCTTCCCCTCCTCTGCTTTCTGGGAAAGGTGGGTGAATACTTTGTACCCTTCTGGCACTGTGAAAAGGAGTCCCGGGAGCTGGGGAATGGCGCGAGGTGCACGTCTCAATA